>NC_000020.11:8248153-8399668 GCF_000001405.40 Homo sapiens
AAGTTCCAGCCTCTTCATGACCTCATAGAGTACTCTGGAACATAAATAGCACCTCAGAGTATGTCCTGCCTGGAGGCAAGGTAGCTTGGCTTTTACATTCCTTCATCCATCTGTCACTGGCTATGGGCCCTCCTGGGTGGGCTATCACCTCCCAAGCACTTCCAGCTCTCCATAGTGTTAGGGCAGTTGCAGTAGCAAAAGAGAAATTTCTGAAGAAGGCTGCTACAGATACTGCTGCAGCAGTATCTTCTGTTGCCATCCAGATTACCATTTCCATTCTCAGCCTTCTGAAGAAGGCTGCAGTTGGAAATAAAGCATGTAAAAGCTGGGAATGGGAGCACAGACCCTGCAAAAGGGACAGAGGTGGCAACTCTGGTGGCAGCAGCAGTATCTGCTACGTCCTCTTGGGTTTTATAGGCACCAGCAAAACACATCTTTTGTTAAAATGGTGGCCTTCTGACGGGAAGGGCAGGTCTACTACTGAGGTCAAAATTCATGTGTTATTTTTGTAAGCAGCTACTAAAGCAGTATCAGTCCAGAGAAACGAGTCTATCTTTGAAGACCAAATACCCAAAAGATCTGCTTCAACCTTCCCCAGTTAATCTTTTGCCAGAAGATTCACAATCTGAATGTGGCTGTGAGTATTTGATTAGAGTATTAGTAGGTGAAGGAAGGTGGTATGCAAGAATCAGCTTTAATATTATCCCCGTAGAAGGGAATAATTGGTGATTAGTTTTCAGGCTATATAGGACTATTCCTCCTAAATGAATGGATAAGCTGAGAGATTTACTTCTAAAGAGGTATGGTCTTTTCATTTTAACTCGAGATTTTAGGAAAGACCAACTTAAAAAGAAAGCAAAGGAAGTTTCAGGAGATTTCAGAATTTAGAAGGAATTCTGAAATTCTCTTCTGGGGAAATGAAATCCTAAGACTTGCATGGATATTTCTGAAAATCAAAATGAAATATTTTGGTTGCATAAATCGTCAACTGTAGTTTTTAACTAAGGAAATGTAATTTAAAAAATCCAAGTGTTCGATTTACATAAGAAATAGAGTTATTTAAATAGAAGATTTCCAAAACGCTGTTAGTGGTCTTTGACGTCTTTAAAAAGGCATTTATATTTGTGAAAAGATGATCTATTTTAAGGTGTAATTATTTCTAATGTGCCTCATTTTGGGGTCTCTTGAGAGATTAGAAATTGCTAATAAGCAATTTTAAATATTTTCGAGGTAAGTTAATAAAACACTTCATCGGTAATTCATGACTTGTTATCATTCTCACATTATCCTTGTGTGGGTAAAGGCCTGTCCATCATTGGAAGTAATTGGAAAGAAAACTTTGCCTGAAGCTACATGAGAACTGGAACCCTTAAATCATGAATGGTGGCAAGATTCCAAAATTAATTATGAAGACTATTGGAATGATGTAGCATCCTTTAACTCTTATTGTGATCGACAGAAAGTATCATAGATGGACAACTCACTTTCCCTTTGCTCTGTGCTTCCTGGTGATTTTAGGTCACGTCCACTCTGAAATCTGAGCTGTCATTAAAGCCATGTCTTCGTGTCTGTCTGTCTGAAGCAGCAAAGATGAGACAGTCTGTCGCTGTGTGTGACCCCAGTGAGCCCCATAAGCAGAAGGCCCTGAGTCTCAATTTGTTTCTTTTGATTACTGGCAGATCACTCACTGTGCCATTTCTCTGATGTGACTGAGCATATTAGCTGTGCCCTCCCCTAATTATTCATGCTTCCAATGTTACCCATTCAAAATTTATGACCATGAGGATGGTGGGTTAGAAGCCTGAGGAACTGAGGCTCAAGCCTGTTGCCAGAGATTTACTGTCATTGTTTTAGGTGCAAAGTATTAACAGGCAGGCCAACTCACTTCAATTCCTGACTTAGTACATTTAGTGGAGAATTAGTTGAGAATGAGTACATTTTCCCTGACACAGCTGCAAAATCAAACACACGAGGAGTTATTGAAAAACTGGGATTTAAGCTTAAACCTATCATTTCTATATCTGATGGGCGCCATCCCATATCTGTGAAAATCTGACATTGGGGAAGTGAAATGCAGGCTTAAAAGAATGCTTTCAAGGTGCATAGCAAAAGCAATCTTACTCCTTTAGTGTTTCCCATTTAATACTTTTCAATTTTTAGTTAGTTAATTAAGGAGAAAATCACTTAATAATCACATAACATAGATTGCTACTATAAATACCTGTATTGTCTATGTTACAATTTTCGCATCTATTTTACTTTATTATTTGTAATCTGTTGGGTTTTGTGACCTTGTGCTCCAAATGATTTTGCATCTGTAAGGTGGTTGGGAGTTAGATACCCTTCATCATATCTTTTGCCATCTTTGAGTGGCTTTTTTAACCTTTCCTTTTAAAAAAAAATCCCTTAATCCACAGTCTAATAAAGTAGGAAAAACAATCAATAAAGCATACCTACAAAAGTTCCATTTTAAACTTTTAGTGAACTTAAGTTTACTCATAGTGCATTTAATCTTCCTTTCTGTCTGTCAGTTAGCAAATATTTATTAAGCCCCAACAATATAACAGAGACATTGCTGGCTGCCAGGTCAGGGGGCAAGAGCCATGATGCATTTCATCTTACTTTGAGGCTGTCGGTCTACAAATATTTATTGAGCTCCCAACAATATGCCAGGGACTTTGCTAGCTGCTGTGGATTCAGAGATGAAAAGACATAGTTCCTTTTATTCACAGAATTTACAGGAGTGATACAAACAAAACAACATAGGAGACATAAGATATGTACTCTGATTGTCTTGGTCTGTTCAGACTGCTATTACAACAATACCTTAGACTGGTTAATTTATAAACATTAGGAATTTATTGCTTACAGTTCTAGAAGCTGGGAAGTCCAAGATCAAGGGCACCAGCAGAGTCAGTGTCTGGTAGTGGTCTGTTCTCATAGATGAGTGCTTTTAAACTGTGTCTGCACTTGTCAGAAGTGCAAAGGGACAAACAGGCTCCCTCAAGTCTGTTTTGTAAGGACACTAACCTCATTTGTGAGGGGATGTCCTCATGACTTAATCGCCTCCCAAAGGCCCTACCTCTTAATACGATCACAGTGGGAGTTAAGTTTCAACATAGGAATTTGGGGGGAACACAAACATTCAAGCAACAACAGTGATGATGGTTAGGCCAAGAACGGTGCAGTCCTCAAGGAGAAAAGCTTTATATCTGCTAGGGAGAGTAAGGAAAGTAGCCTTGGAGCTGAGGCTTGGTGCACAGAGAGGAGTTTGCCAGGCGGATAAGAGCAGGAGAGGTCTTTCAAAGCAGGGGAAACAACATGGTCAAAAGCATGAAGACCTGCCAGAGCTTCCAGAATCTATCAGAGACTTTGAGTTGTTGGAGAATGAAGTATAAGGCAAGGAGTGACTGCAGCTGAGGCATGGTTGGATGAGGGTCAGATTACAAAGAAACTGTATATGCTGTTCAAAGTGGTTCCTATATTTTCTTCCTGCTGGTTATTAGAAGGGCATGTGCCCCTTTTAGGAGGCATCTGCTATGGTTAAGATAATAGAAAAGGGAATTTTCCTACAACTCAGATTACATAGTTGCGAGTGAGACACATTCCTAGGTCCCTCTCCCCAAAAAGCCTTCAGAATTGGAACAGATTTTTTGATGGTGAAGTTTGTGGTGACATCACTGGTTTGCTGCTCTAAAGGCCACTGGAATTAGGAATGCCCGTGGATGAAAGATATTTTTTGCCATGGACTTAGGAATCTGGGTGTGAGTATTTTCTCATTGGTGGGTCAAGACTGACAGCTGCCCTCTGCAAGCTCTTTGAAAAGGTAGGAAGCCCTGAAGGACCTAGGTGATGCTATTACTTGATGGCTCAAGCAGATCTTCACAAATTCAATACATGAAAGATAGGAAGTAAGACGTATGAGTGATGGGGGAGTGAGGTTAGAGTGGTACATCTATCATAGACTGGATAGAAAGGAAAGAAAAGCAGAGGAGGGGAGGATACACAACTTGGCAATGTCGAGATCCAGCCATCCAAACAAGCATGGAAGTCCTTGGTGAAGCTTGACTCCCAAGGGGCATTGCTTTGCATCAGGCACCTGCTAGTCTCTGTATGCAAAGACAGCATGGCTCTTCTAGACTGTAATGAATAGCCACCAAAATCTCTTGGATGTGAACCTGCTGACTTCCCTTGTGAAAACTATGCCTAAAGGTCAGTGAATCCTGTTTTGGAGCTGCTTAGGGTCACTAACACCAAGAAAACTTCATACTTCACTTTTCTCTTATCCCTGCAGAATGCTGGAATGGAAGAAAAAAAAAAGATGAAAAGTAGGTCATATAAATTGGTAATGCCTAATTCTAATCCAGTGATCTCATATAGCATTAGAATAAATTAGAATACATTTTGATGAAAATTTCCATTTTATTAAATAGTTGCTTCGTGCATAAGCAGTGCAGCTGGACCACACTGTTTCTAAGATTGTTTTCAATAAAATCTCATTAGCTCACAAGGCAAATTGAATTCTCACTTGCTTTCCCCATCCACTGTCCCTTACTCACCCCTGCTGTATATAGAGCACTGAGTGTAGAATTTCGCTAGCCAGACCACTTACTATTTGACAGAGATGTGTATGTAGGGAACAGCATTAAGCTATGCCATGACTTCCTGTCATGGCTATAATTAGCATCAGTTCAATAGGCTTGAGTTAAAATGGTTTCTGTGGTGCCATTATAGCTTTGTTTTGCCTTACTTATATCTAGGTGACCACATGTTCAGGTTTTTCTGGGACAGTCCCTTTTTATGCCTGTTTTCTCAGTAGAAATTCTTAATAATGCCCATTCTCACTCTCTGAAGTATTCCAGTTTGGATTAACAATAATATGGTCTCCTGTAGCAAATACTATGAGTGTTCTCATAGCCCTCAGACCTGAGCATTCCAGAATATTCTTACTGGCATCAGCCTGTTGATATCATGTGCAGAGTGCTCTATTGAAACGACAGAAACTCTTGGCCCACTCACCAAGCTGGAATTCAGAGGTATTGACTTCCCTAAGGGCATCCTTCAGCCAATAACTGATAGGAATTGGTGGTCAAATTTTATTTGTTGTTGTTGTTTTTCCTTGTTGATGTACAGTTACTCTAGCACTATTCACTTAGAAAATTTCCTTTTCCTAGTCCATTTCATTGGCACCCTTGTCAAAAATTAATTGATTTTATATATGTCAGTCTATCTCTGGACTCTCTTCTGATCCATTGACCTACCCATATACCAATACGAGACTGACATATTTATCCTCAGGTGACTTTAATTTGCCACTAGGTCTGAGAATCACCATTTTCGACAAACCATGATTTATTGCCTGGGGCTAAATGCATTTCTGGTCTACATGAATTTGTGGTTTTATTCACAGAGGACAGGAAGAATATTGAGTTGATATCTAGCAGTGTCTCTCTTCACATATATTTATTTATTTTCAACTTTTATTTTAGATACAGGGAGTACATGTGCAGGTTTGTTACCTGGGAATATTGCCTAATGATGAGGTTTTGGGTATGAATGTTCCCATCACCCAAGAACTAAGCATGGTACCTGAGTTTTTCAACTCCTGGTCCCTTTCCTCCCTCCCCACTCTAGTATTCCCCAGTTTCTATTGTTGCTATCTTTGTGTTCACCAGTATCCAATATTTAGTTCCCACTTATAAGCGAGAACATGCAGTATTTGGTTTTCTGTTCCTGCATTAATTTGCTCAAGATAATGGCCTCCAGCTGCATCTATGTTGCTGCAAAGGACATGATTTCGTTTCTTGTTATGGCTGTGTAGTATCCCACGGTGTACATATACCACATTTTCTTTATCAAATCCACCCTTGACAGGCACCTAAATTAACTCCGGGACTTTGCTATTCACACATATATTGAAAGCATTTATACTAAACAATATGTTTGTTATGAATAGTGCTATATTGTACACATTTCAGAGAACCTTTTCCCTGCTAAATCTTCACGTGACTCTTGGACACATTGTCTTTGTGACCACTGGAGCACATTTTGAAGTCATCTAGTAGACTTTTCCAGAACACATATTTTTCACTTATATTTATATTGTTTGAGGTGCTGCAAACCTCTTTAAATTGTGTACAACATTTGCAATTGTTAGGTTATACCCACCTGGGAATAATTACTAAGTCTGTGCTCATTTTTGTTTAACTTTCTGATATATTTGTTTCATTTAAGTAAACCTCTAGAAGTATCCAAACTAGGATTAGTAGAGGTAATTTTGGGCTAATGTATCTTCCCCAAACATTGTTCTGTTGTTCAAAATAAGGTAATTACGAAGACACTGGTAACATGAGTGACTTTGTTAGGACTTGAGTATAAATCAGGCTCCTCTTTCCTGAGGAGTGCTTAATCAAGAAAAAAAAAGGCTTTTCTTCATATAAAGGCTTATGTAATATACAGGCTACCAATCTTTGGCTTTGTAACTTCGTTTGACTATAGTGCAACCTGATATGGTTGACTTATTAGGTTGAATTATTTTATACCGCTACGAGGCACTTTTTGTTTAAAATAATGTATGCCTCTTCCAGAAGATCCCTGCACATCACACATTCAAAACTAACTAGATTACCAGGACATGGGAAAATGGTGTCATATGTCTTAGTTGCTGAAGGTTCACTTTATCTTGAATAATAAAATTACAGATCTACCTAGAATTGAACTTAATTGCACAATATTGTATTTCCTTTGCCAATTAACCCAATGGAGGTTTGAAGTAATATATTTGAAAAATGCTTTGTAATCTGAAAAGCACCAGGCACTTGTTAATCGTTGTCATTACTATATTGGAAAAACTACCTGTGGCCACTTGCAATGGAGAAAAAAGTCTTAACACTGAGCAAAGAACAGCTCAACCCTTAGGCAAGTACTTTATCATCAAAACATTTTCCGATGACCATGATTCACAGCAGATGTAAACTAACTCCAGTGTTTTTCAAACTAGTGGTCTTGACCCACGGGTAGGTTATGACATCAGTTTATTGGTTGGACATCAGCATTTTACAAAAATGAACAGTGCAATAGAACATAACAGAATATACTAGAAAATAGTAATATCAGAGGTAGTAAGGATAAATATTCTTTTGAGAAGATCTCCATATATATACATATACACAAACACACAGATACAAACACTGGATGGAAGTAGAAAATGTTCTAATTGTGACTCATTGCTCAGAAACAAAACAGAACAAGACAAATTCAATAACAATGTCATTGCCCTAATCCTTATTTAAGATTTTTAAAGAATGTTATAGTTGTCCTTCAGCTTAGCAGTTATTGTATTACTTAAGGTATGATACAAAATGTTAAGACTTTTATATATCATACGCTTATAATTCCTGAGTTCATAGAGGGTCTAAGATTTTACCATTAATATCCTTCTAATAAAGCATTGCATTATTGAAGACAACCAGTTAGCCAGTTCAAGTCAACACATTTATTAAGAATTAGGAATGTATAAAAAATATACCAAGGAAAATAAATTAAGCTTATATAATTATACTTTATGTTAAATGACAGTTTAATTTCTTCTATGGGGTGTAAATATTTAATAAATTGTCGATATTCAAAAGACCAATACATATTTTAAAATATTCTGGGGGTTATTTTTACATACATCATCATGATCCCCATAATGACGTTTCAATCAGCGACGAACCACATATATGATGGTGGTCTTATAAGATTATAATATCAAATTTTTCCTGTACCTTTTATATGTTTACATATACAAATACTTTCCATTGTTTTGCAGTTGCCTACAGAGTTCGATACAGTAACATGCTGTATAGTTTGTAGCCAAGGAGCAATGGGCTATACCATATAGCCTGGGTGTGTAGTAGGCTACACCATCTAGGTTTGTGTAAATACACTCTGCGATGTTTGCACAATGAAGTCAACTAAGGACACATTTCTCAGAAATTATCCCCCTCATTAAGTGATGCATGACTGTATTTCCTGTAATAGAGACTGTATCTGTTAACTATTGCTATATAACAACCATCCCAAACATAGTAACTTCAACAACAACCATTTACTTAGTGCCAATTCTATGAGTTAGCAGTTTAAGCTGGCCTATCCTGGGTGGTTCTTCCTGGCTTCCTTGTGTGTATGGTCAGCCATTCTGCTAAGCCACTCTGGTTCTGAGAGTCTTTTGGCTGTTTGCCTGGGGCACTTCAGTTCTCCTCTACCCTGGTCCTCTCTAATCCTCAACAGACTAACTAGCCCAGGCCTGTTCAAAGGGCAAAGACAGGGCTCCAAGACAATGGAAGAATTGAAGGCATGTTGAGGCCTAAACTGGATCAAGTACAGTGTCACTTTGACCACATCCTGCTCGCTATAGGAGGTCACAGGCCAGCCCAGATTTAACAGGAGGGGAAAATAATCTCCAATTTTTTGATGGGAGAAATGGCAGAGTAACAAGGCAAAAGGTAGAGAAAAAAATAAGGAGGCCATTAATGGAGGCCATGAATGCAGTCAACTTATCAGATGCTCTTCTCCTCCCTACCCTTTTCATTGGAGCAATATAAAGAAATCCTTCAGTCAAGTTTCCATAAAGACCCTCTTTCCTGCTTCTGGCTGAGCTCCTACTAAAAAGAAGATTAATGTGGAAATTAATCTAATCCAGGATTAAGAGTAGAAGACTTACTTAAACTGGGCAATTTTCTGTCAATTTGATTGTAATAAATATTTTGCATTTAAGAGTTTACTATTGCTAAAGGAAGGATTGTGTTTTCTCTGGGAGCATTGTGAATCTTGTGTTACTGAACAAATGATTTCCTAAAAGGGTATGGGTAAATGGAACTGTAAATCAAACCAAATTTTTTATTTTGAGCCCGCAATTTAAAGGGATCGTTTTACATGTGTTCTGTCTCCAGAGATACCTCTAAAAGTTCTAGGTTTTAGATGAACGATTCCCCAAAGCAACCTTCACCTGGAGAACATAATTCCTATATTTAGCTTAATACTTGGGCCAGAAAGGCTAACATGTCATTTACAGTTTACAGGTAAGATGAATGTAATCTCCTTAGAGTAGTTTCATCAACCAAGTCTAGAAAAATCAGGTACTAGAGTGATTTTTACACAACTGTTTCTTATTGAACAAATTACAAAATTAGAGAAAATGAAAAAGAAAATTAGAAAGGATAGACTTAAATATCTACTCATATGGTAATAATTTTATAAGAAAAAAATCAAAATATAACATCTGTTTCTACCTGCCTGGCCTGTGAATTTTGTAGTCTAATATAATGAGAGAGATAATATTACAAAATAGTTAGGATGGCTGACTTCAAAGACAGACTGCTTGCGTTTGAATTTAAGCTTAGTTATGTGTTACCTGTGTGTTCTACATTATTTAATCTTTTTACGCCTCCCAGTAGAACAGGGATAATAATGGTTCCTACGTCACAGGGTGATTGTGAGAATTCCGAAAGTCAGTATGTGTGGAATACACAGGCCAGTGATCAATGCCTGGTAGGCAATAAATGTTAACTCTCACTGTCAACACTACAGTTGGTTTCTATTCCAACCTTCATGAATTTTCACTGATTTTTTTCACACTTGTTTAAAGTTACATGCTGTATGCCTCTGCCAGGGGCCTGAGAGACAGAGATAAAGGACAAAGACACTGTTCCCAAGTAGCTTGAGGTATTGGATGAATACCCCCCGACCACACACAGATGCACAGATAGTGATGCCACTTGTAAAAGGGATATAAGACTTAAAGGTCATTCAGAATGTCCATGAGACTCGTTTATTTTTAAGGTGATTTCTAATATATAATTTTGTGAAGCAATATGCATTTTTTAGGCTGTTGGCTAAAATGCAATGAATTACCTAGATTTACTCAAGTTTACACTCATTCCACATGTTTTTCTAAATACAGAAATTTCTCATTATGTATGGCATGATTTTTTTAAAAAGAAACATTATATATAAAGAGTACGTGAAGCCTAAGAAAAGTGGCACATTCTTTACTCTTGTAATATGCCAGCATCTTATTCTTTATTTGGTGGTTTCTAATTGTTCCCTAAAAATGTACCAACCATAATATTGACTGAATTATGCCACAAAGAAAAGAAAGTGATTATAGTTCTCTTCATAGATCCTTGGACCTCATATAAAGCATTGATTGATTGTGGAGCCTGCCTGGAGAACAGGCTGTATCAGTGCTATAGAATCTTTACTACTAACTTCTTAGATACTCTTGATTTGGTCTCATTCGTGGGTTTACATTTGCTCTGGAAGTGGTGAGCTTAGATGATAGAAAAACGTTTGGTATGTGAATTTCATACACTTGAAGAAATAGATCTTGAGTTCAGTTTTTCCCTGCAAAGTGCTAGACCTTAAAAATCTGATTTGCATAGACTGGAATTCATTGATTTAAGAAGAGGAATTTATTACAGATTAATAATAATTACTTCTGAAGAGAAAATACTTTGAATTTGGGATTCTAATACTTATTTAAAATTGGCGATAATTTCACTCTTACCAACAAATACACTAATTCTGTTTTTAAAATTTCGATTAGTGTTATTTTTGGCTTAATATGCACATTGTTAAGCCATGTGGGTTTTTTTTTCTGTTTTTAAAATTTAAGTATACTTTGCACAGAGTAAAAGGTACCTGTATGTGTCTACAGTTGTGCGAGTCTTAACAATTCTATACATTCATGTATCCATCACCAAAGTCAAGATATACGACAGTTCTGTCACTGGCAACATTTCCATGCATTCTTTTGTCATTAACCCCTTTCTCCGGTCTCTGGCAACCACAGATTTGTTTCCTTTCCCAAAATATAAATGGAATCATACAATATGTAGCCTTTTGAGTCTGGCTCTTTTCATGTAGCATAACGCCTTTTAGATTTATCCATGTATCAGTGATTCATTCTTTTTCACTGATGAGTAATATTTTATTGGATGGATACTCACAGTTCCCATTCCCCACTTGAAGGACATTTGTTTCTAGTTTTTGGTAATTACAACAAAAGCCATTTAATTATGTTCTTACTTGTTTTGGAAAAAATCCAATAAAATGGTAAAATAATCACTTTGTGTGTATAGGAGTAGGGTGTGGCAGGGAAGTCTGAATCCAAAGGTGTTACTCTAAGTCTCTGCTGGCTGGGCATGGTGGGTAGTGCCTCTAATTAGAGCACTTTGGGAGGCTGAGGTAGGCGGATCACTTGATGTCAAGACTTAGAGACCAGCCTGGGCAACATGACAAACCCTATCTCTACTAAAAATATAAGAAGTAGCCAGGCATGGTGACACACTCCTGTGGTCCCAGCTACTGGGGAGGCTGAGGTGGGAGGATCGCTTGAGCCCCAAAGGCAGAGGATGGTGTGATCCAAGATCACACCACTGCACTCCAGTCTGGGTAACAGGATGAGACCCTGTCTCAATAAATAAATAATATAAAGTCTCCACTAAAAGCGATTATCTGTTGTCTACTGGTATAATCAGGCATACCAGTAGATCTCAGACTGTGTTCCCATTTGATTACCATTGTTTTGCTGCTTAAATCCAAAATATGCCAATTTTAAAAATAATTTTCAGAATTAGTACATTGCATTTCATCAATCTTAAGTTTTCCTCTAATAAATCATTTGAAATACTTGGGTATCTCACAGAGGATCCCGTGTTACCTGGTTTGGCACACAATCATTACATTGATTTTCCTGAAGTTGAATCTAGTAATTTTTGGGTGTCTCACATAAGCATGTAACTTTCAGACTCTCTCTCCCTAAAAAAGGAGTGTCACAAGAACATATTCTAAATCAGTCTATCTGGATGTGAAAATAGGACTCTTCTTGTGTTCACAGTGGCCAAGGAATAAAGACTACTACATTCTTTTTCTTTTCATTTCTTGTTTCTTTTTTTTTCTTTTTTTTTTCAGACAGTGTTGCCCAGACTGGAGTGTAGTTTTGAGATCATAGCTCACTGCACCCTCAAACTCCTAGACTCAAGCAATCTTATAGCCTCAGCCTCCTTATCAGCTGGGACTACAGGCACACACCGTAGCACCCAGCATTTTTTTTTTTTTTTTCTGTTAGAGACAAGGTCTTTCCATAGTGCCCAGACTGGTCTCAAACTCCTGGGCTCAAGCAATTCTCCCCTCCTGAGCCTCCCGAAATGCTGGGATTACAGGCATGAACCACTGCACATGGCCTACCACTACATTTCTTAATGAAAATCACAAAGTAAGACTGGGAAGCTTGGAGAGGCTGAGAAAGCTGAGAGTGGGTCCTGTGGAGGACTTTAGGGAGAGTCAGGAATGTTGTCTGAGTCCTCTCTTACACCTCTAGTGCAGTGAGATGGGGCCTAACAGGACCACTTGCAGGATGGCCTGTGACCAGTGTGGGAGTATTCTTAGATTCTGTCCAAGGTGCTGTTATAAGAGGGACAAGCAAATCCTAGCTTAGATAAGCTAGAATCATCTATGCCTGGTGCTAAAGAGGGAATAAACAATGAGCTAGAGGGAAGCATAGCATGCCCATCCAAAGAGCTCCTAAAGAAAGAGCTCTTGTGGGAGCGTGGTTAGCAGTGTTGTTCATGTCATCTATAACTTCTATACCCAAGGCATGTGCATTCATTCTCAAGCTGCTGCGGGTACCAGTTACTAGAAACTCATAGCTGCCCCCATTCTCTGGCCAACTGCCCTGGGCTGACAGGAGTCCCCTTTCCCAGAGATGCCTTGTAGTTTATGCCTTCCACCAATCTGGAGACTGCCCATGGTCAGCGACCGAAAAATGCAGAGGTATAAAAGAAAGCACGGCTGCCTTGCCTCAAGACCTCACAGCCCTTGTGTTGCAATCCATGCTCCAGAGGTCTCCAAGGGATCGGGTGGGGACTAAATTTCATCTGAAACAACATGTTTGTCAAGCTCCTTCTACTGCCCCCTTCTGCTTCTCTTGATCTTTTAGAGGGTTCTTCTGAGAGCACTTCCTCAAAAATCATTTGCACAAGAATCCCTGTCTCAGGCTCTACATTTAGGGAACCAAACCTGATATAGGGAACTCTGAGAAACGCCCCCAATAAAACATTAAGAGGAGAGAGAGAGAGAAAGAGAACTTCATACACTTGCCGCGCTTAGAGAGCATATTGACATGTTACTACTTTAACAATCAGGTAAGAACCCCTCTGCCTCCCCTTATCTCTTCACTAAGCTCCTCTAAGTGCCAAAATTCATGTTAGCAAGGTAGAAAAGGAGATGTCTAACTAAGCTATTTAGGGAAACATACCTTAAGGCTATTAAACTCTTTCCTTCCTATAAGATTCCAGCTTTGCGGTTGATGTCGAGCCTTATGAAGAGAAGCTTTAACGTGAAATGAACGTGATCTTTCCATGAGCCATTAATGGTTGACCAGGGGATCTGGGAGAGTATAACTAGAAAATTTATGGAGACTTTTATCTAGGAGCCCAAGAATAACCAACCCACCTAATTTATTGAAGGTGACAGTGGGGTAGAGTGCATGATATCTCCTGAGTCTTGCCTATTTGGTTACCTGTTATCCTAAAACAATTGAAAGGACAAAAACATAATAAATGCTGAATCCTGACAAATGAAGACAGAAAACTTACTTTTCTTCTTAAACCAAGAGGATAAGCATTGTATTTAGTATTGAGATTAATTCTCATTGAAATAAAGTCCATCAGACACACAAGTCTCCATGTATTATTGGTCATCCAGACATTGAGATCTAATCCATCACAAAAGTCTCTATGAGTTAGACATCCAGGTAGCCCCACATACATCTCAGACAGGGCACTCTTAGCTGCTTTCTTCTTGATGGCAGCTGGGGATTATTCCTTCCCTTCATTTTTTGTTTTTATGTGCGTTTTTGTTTGTTTGTTTGTTTGTTTTTGAGACAGAGTCTTGCTCTGTCAGAGTCTTGCCAGGCTGGAGTGCAGTGGCATGATCTCAGCTAACTCACTGCAACCTCCACCTCCTGAGTTTAAGGATTTGCCTGTTTCTCCTGCCTCAGACTCACAAATATCTGGGACAACAGGCACATGCCACCACGCCAGGCTACTTTTTTTTTTTATTGTATTTTCAGTAGAGACGGGGTTTCACCATGTTGGTCAGGCTGGTCTCGAACTCCTGACCTCAGGTGATCCACCTGCCTTGGCCTCCCAAAGTGCTAGGATTACAGGTGTAAGCCATTGCACCCGGCCTTTCTTCCCTTCTTAACACAAGGAAATACCCAAATATTAGAGGGATGCAGCAGTGGGGAATGTATAATCCATGGTGTCTTTGTTTCGTGAGAACCCCAATGAAGAAAGAGAAACAGGGAGACATAGTTTAGAGCATGCCGCTCAGCAGAATTTAGAATTGCCTTCAGTCACTGGAAGAGTCTAGGTGTACCTGGCTATTTGAAATATATGAATACCCAGCTTCATTATCTGAATGTTTTATGCTCCCCAAAATTTGAGCTCTCTTTTCGTACAGGCTGCTATAACAAAATATCATAGACGGAGTGGCTTAAACAACAGACAGTTATTTCTCACCATTCCAGAGGCTGGGAAGTCTAAGATGAAAGTGCCAACAGATTTGGTTCCTGGTGAGGACCTGCTTTCTGACTTGCAGCTGCCTTCTTGCTGTGTGTTCAACTGACCTTCCTTTTGTTTGTGTATGAGGGAGAAAGAGAATGAGAGAGAGAGAGAAAGATTCGTCTTCCTCTTTTTACAAGGGCTCTAACTCCATCATGAGGGTCCCCCTCTGATGACCTAATCTAAACCTAATTACCTCACAAAGGCCCCACCTCTAAATATAATCACATTGGGGATTAAGGGCTTCAACAAATGAATTTGGGGGAACACATAAACATTCCTAATGCAGGACAGGCAACATTTCAGCTCTGCCACTGACTGCCCAAATAATCCTGGACAACTTACTTAACCTCTCTAAGCCTCAGTTTTGTCATCTGTTAGATGGGAATGAATGAGTTAATATCTATAGTACCAAAAAAAAATTGTGTCTGGCACAGAGTAAGTGTTCAGTAACTGGTAACTGTTGATTATTAGCCTGGGTTAAACTCTGGAGTAGTTAAGAAATGAGGCAATTTCTCATTACTAGAAGAAAAATCAAAATGACTGTATTAAAAAGGAGATGCTGAGCATATCATCAATAAAAGTTTTAATTGGTTCAATATTATTTCAGATTGTGACATTAAACATCACTTTCAAATGCTGAGGTTATTTCCTCAAATATGACATCAGTTGACTCAATCCCATTAGGAGAAATTTGAACGCCTTCACTATGTAACATAAAAATTGCTAATTCTTTCCTTATTATATATTATAATCATGTGTCACTTAATGCTGGGGATTCATTCTGATATTGTGTGAACATCAGGGACTGAACTTATGCAAACCTAGATGGTAGAGACTACTACATACCTAAAATATATGGCATAGCTTATTGCTCCTAGGTACAAACTTGTACAGCATATTACTGTGCTGAATACTGTAAGCAATTGTAACATAATGGTAAGTATTCATGTATCTAAATGTATGTAAACATAGAAAAGGTACATTGAAAATACGATATAAAAGATAAAAGAACAATGGACCTGTATAAAACACTTACCATGAATGGAGCTCCTAGGCCTGGAAGTTGCTCTGGGTGAGTTGTTGAGTGACTGGTGAGTGAATGTGAAGGCCTAGGACATTAATGTACACTACTAGAGAATTTATAAACACTGTATACTTAGGCTAAAATAAATTTATTTTAATAAACTTTTCCCCTCAATAATAAATTATCCACCTTAGCTACTTTAACTTTTTTACTTTATAAACTTTTAAATTATTTAAACTTTTGACTCTTGTAAGAACACTCAGCTTGAAACACAAACACATTGTACAACTGTACAAAAATATTTTATTTCTTTACAGACTTATTCTATAAGTTTCTTCAATTTTTAAATATTTAGTTTTTACTTTTTAAACTTGTTTGTTAAAAACTAAGATGCAAACACACACATTAACCTACTCAGACAGAGTCAGCATCATCAATATCACTATCTTCCACTTCCACATCTTGTCCCACTGGAAGGTCTGCAGGGGCGATAATATGCATGGAACTGTCACCTCATATGATAGCAATGCCTTCTTCTGAAATTGCCACTGAAGGACCCACCTGAGACTGTTTTACAGTTAATTTTTTTCTTTAATTATTAGGAAGAGTATACTCTAAAATAATAATGAAATGTATAGTATAGTATAGTAAACACATAAACCAGTAACATAGTTGTTTATTATCATTATCAAGTATTATGTACTATACATAATTTTATGTACTAGAGTTTTATACAACTAGCAGCAATATAGTTTTGCTTGTACCAGCAATACCATAAACGCATGAGTGATGTGTTGCTCTGCAACGTTATGGCAGCCATGACATCACTAGGTTATAGGAATTTTTTCAGCTCTGTTATAATCTTATGGGACCACTATCATATAGGCAGTCTCTCATGGACTGAAATGTCATTATGGGGCACATGACTGTGTGTGTGTATGTAGGTACACACACATATGTTCATCTCTTATGCCTGATTTTGATTCTTTATTAATGTGGTGTAAGTCAATATTTATTGGCAGCAAAGGATATTTTCACCTTAGCAAATGACAGATATGAAGTTTCATTCTAAAGAATTTTGGTGCTTTCCTCCTACTGCCCTGGGGAAATGTAGCAATCCATGTAATCTGCCAACATGTATGGTTGGAGATGCATTTTAGGGGGTCAGGGAGATAATTAATGAGGAAACCTTGAGAGTCCTATCCCTATTTCTAGCTCTTACCTCAAAAGGAAATTACTCGTAAGTCCAGGAAATGGCTACGCTGAAAATACTTGTCATTTGTCTGACACTGTACAGAATTCTATGTTTAAGATCATCAGTTTTAGTGGCAGGTATTCTTGGACTTAATCCTACCTCTACCAATTACACCAGTCATTAGCTGCATAATTTTGAACAATCTCAATCTTCTCCTCCATAAAATGGGAACAGCAGTGTCTATTCCTTAGAGCAGTTGTGAGGATTAAATGAGTGAATGCATATAAAAAAACACTTGGTCCTGAATCTGACACATGAAAGCACTGGGATAGTTGTTACCATTTGAATTGTCTAATTCAGGGCCTTTTCATTCCACAAGCGAATGGCGAAGTACCATTTAAGACTTGCCAATGGGTGGGGGAGGCATTTACTATCCAAATAATTATATCACTGATCATGTCTAACTGAACACATTTTTGGCTAGAAGGGAACTTGGATAAAATATAAAAACAGAGCTTTCACAGGCATTTTTGTTATTTCATTTATGCTTTGAAAAAAATATTTTGGGGCACCTACTATTATGGGTAGCTAACTGCATCTCAAATTTATATCTTAATGTGTTCTTGTCCTTTAATTTTTATTCTGCAACATATGAACTTCAGTAATTTCTAATTTCCAGAATGGTGGAACATAAATACATGTCTCCAGTTCCTATCAACTTTGCTAAGTCATAATAATATTATTAACAAAATCATAGTCTTTTTCTTTAACCTAGCAACAGTTACTTAACAATAAAAGCAGGTGCCAACACAGCAGGAACAGTATTTAGTGTTTTGTGAGTCATTGTTTTTATTATTTTTAACTTTTTTTACCATCACCTTAGGAAATCATACAAATGTCATTGTGGAAATCAATCATTAGAGTAAGGTGGAGGACTAATTTTTATTGTAAAAATAACCATATTTACCTGGATACTTATTTAGAATCTAAGTAAGAATGCCTGTCTTCTTGAATCCCTTACTTTATTTAGTCAAATGCTAAGTTAACTTGCTGTTAAGGCTTTGGGTTCTTCTTTTTCAGTCGATGTCAGTGTTGAGGCTTTGTGTGTTGGCAATTTTTAGTTGTGTATCGATTAACCATTGCTACAATAATGCTATGTAACAAGCCATCCCAGAACTTCAGGCTTACAACACTTACTTGTAGTTTCTAGTAATATGGTTGCATTGGTTCTACTGATCTGAGCATATCCCATCAGGGCTCATTCACATGCCTACACTCAGCTCTGTATTAGCTTGTTGGTTTCATTTGACTTGGAGGGGCAATGATGTGGCTGGGCTCTCAGCAGAGAAGAATGGGCTCTGCTCCACATGGTACCTCATCCTCCAAGAGGCTAGCACTGGGTTTTTCTCAGGCTAGTCCAGTCATAATATCATGGCAATCACATAGCAGCAAAAAGAAAGCATAAATGCTCAGGCATCATTTCTTCTTGAATCGAGTCAGCTAATATCCTGTTGCTTAAAGAAAGTCTATGGCCAAGCCAAGAGCAAGCGTAGGAGGGAGCTACAAAGTTATAGGGCAAACGATGTGGCTACATGGAGGCTATTAATTGGGGTGCTAATGAAACCAATCTACCACAGATGGCATGGATCCACTGCATATGGAAGCCACCACCTTTCAGGAAGACCTCCCCAACTGGACTTTTAAAATAGCCTTTCTCTCCAGATGCCCTACCTATCATCTCATCTGCCTGTTAAGAATGGGTACATCTGGGCCGGGTGCAGTGGCTCACGCCTGTAATCCCAGCATTTTGGGAGGCCAAGGCGGGTGGACCACCTGAGGTCAGGAGTTCGAGTCCAGCCTGGCCAACATGGTGAAACCTTGTCTCTACTAAAAATACAAAAATTAGCTGGGCATGGTGGCAGGCACCCATAATTCCAGCTACTTGGGATGCTGAGGCAAGAATCGCTTGAACCTGGGAGGCGGAGGGTGCAATGAGCCTAGATCGTGCCATTGTACTCCAGTCTGGGCAACGAGAGCGAGACTTCGTCTAAAAAAAAAAAAAGGGAAAAAAAAAGAATGGGTACATCTGGGATGACCGTACCTTAAATACAAGACATGACCTGTTAACACTGCCAAAAAGAAATGCTTCAGTGATACCTTCTAATGGTGGAGGAACATAGCTTGTCAATACTCAGCAAGCAATAATCATGCCTTAAGGGTTGATGTTGGCTTTGTGCCAGATCCCCTTGGGCTGGTGATTCTCCAGCTGCTGCTAGTGTTGGCTTTTATTAGCCCCCAACTGAGTCCTATGGAGAACTGCTCCTAGCCCACGGTTCACATCCCACCCACTGCCTTCTGCGGGGTAGCCTGTCTGACACAGTGCAAACATCCCAACCAGTTTTCCTCAAGATGGGACATCTCTGTGGTATAATCCATGCTCCAGAACTCCCTTGGGTCCACGCTCAGGGTGGACTCCAGCTGAGGCCACAGCCTTACTCAGCTCTGCCTCATTCACTTTCTGCTTCCCTCCTTCTCCTGTTCCTGAGAGTCACTCTCAAGAAATCACGGGCATCCCAATCCCTGTCTCAGACTCTGGTTTTAGAAAACTCAACCTGAAATACATGTTACAATGTTATTTTCTGTCATTTTCTTTTGTTTTTTTAAAGCAAAAAAAGCATAGATTTATTGAAACAAAAGTATACTCCACAGAACGGGAGCGGGCTTGAGCAAGTGGCTCAGGAGCCCAGATTACAGAATTTTCTGGGGTTCAAATACTCTCTAGAGGTTGCCTATTGGTTACTTGGTTACACCCTATGTAAATAAAGGAGTGGCCCATGACCAGTTTGATTGGCTCTAGGAGAGGACCAATCACTGGCTGAAGCAGAGTTACAAAGTTACATATGAAGACTTGGCCCACAACCAGTCTGATTGGTTGTGGGACAGGACCAATCAGAGGTACTTTCCATCTGTCTTTATTATTATTATTATTATTATTATACTTTAAGTTCTAGGGTACATGTGCACAACGTGCAGGTTTGTTACATATGTATACATGTGTCATGTTGGTGTGCTGCACCCATTAACTCATCATTTACATTAGGTATATCTCCTAATGCTATCCCTCCCCTCTCCCCCCACCTCATGACCGGCCCCGGTGTGTGATGTTCCCCACCCTGTGTCCAAGTGTTCTCATTGTTCAATTCCCACCTATAAGTGAGAACATGCGGTGTTTGGTTTTTTGTCCTTGTGATAGTTTGCTGAGAATGATGGTTTCCAGCTTCATCCATGTCCCTACAAAGGACATGAACTCATCCTTTTTTATGGCTGCATAGTATTCCATGGTATATATGTGCCACATTTTCTTAATCCAGTCTATCATTGATGGACATTTGGGCTGGTTCCAAGTCTTTGCTATTGTGAATAGTGCTGCAGTAAACATACGTGTGCATGTGTCTTTATAGCAGCATGATTTGTAATCTTTTGGGTATATACCCAGTAATGGGATGGCTGGATCAAATGGTATTTCTAGTTCTAGATCCTTGAGGAATCACCACACTGTCTTCCACAATGGTTGAACTAATTTACAGTCCCACCAACAGTGTAAAAGTGTTCCTATTTCTCCACATCCTCTCCAGCACCTGTTGTTTCCTGACCTTTTAATGATCGCCATTCTAACTAGTGTGACATGGTATCTCATTGTGGTTTTGATTTGCATTTTTCTGATGGCCAGTGATGATGAGCATTTTTTCATGTGTCTGTTGGCTGCATAAATGTCTTCTTTTGAGAAGTGTCTGTTCATTTCCTTTGCCCACTTTTTGATGGGGTTGTTTTTTGTCATTTTCTCTATGTATTTTTTTTAAATTCTCAATGCCTTGAAAAAATAGAGAAAACTTCACAGATACAAAATGAGATTAAATTCAGACATTTATGAGATATATTTTTAAAGGCCCTATTTCAAAATATTCAGTGCACATGTATGTATTGAGGCAGTCTTGGAGGAAGGGACATCAACTTTGCTTCAGAGAAAATGAATTTATCTCCTCAGTCTACCTGGCTCTGCACTTATTGATCCTGAGAATTTATGAAGAACTTTTTTTAAATAATTTTTTTATTATGCTTTAATTTCTGGGGTACATGTGCAGAATGTGCAGGTTTGTTACATAGGTATACACGTGCCATGGTGGTTTGCTGCACCCATCAACCCGTCATCTATATTAGGTATTTCTCCTAATGCTATCCCTACCCCATCCCCCCAACCCCTGACAGGCCCCGGTCTGTGATGTTCCCCTCCCTGTGTCCATGTGTTCTCATTGTTCAACTCCCGCTTATGAGTGAGAACATGCAGTGTTTGGTTTTTCGTTCTTGTGTTAGTTTGCTCAACTTGATTCTCTGTATTCTCATATGCAAAATGGTAATAATAATTACTATTGCAAGGGATTTTGTTGAGAATTAAGTTAAATGAGATAATGCATGTCAAAGGAGTTTCAAGGGCTACAGATATGCTATTTTTACTTGTAGACTGTATTTTCTTATAACTCAGAGCTTTAGAAACCCGATGCAACTACCTAATGCCAGTAAAATGGAGTCGTAAAGTAATAAAGAAAACTGATTGTCTTGTTTCCTATTTTTTTTGAAAACTGATTTTGTTGCTTACTGTTTTTATCATTTGGTCAAAACTGAAACGTAAGTTTTGTATCTCTATCCAGATACAAAGACAGATTTTTGGCTTTCGTTACAACAGCACAGTAAGATACAAAAATGTTCACTTCATTTTAATGTTATATTTTGACTTCCTCTCCTGAATGCTACTTCAGGCATATGGCAAAATAAACTTTCAAAATTAGGAAGCTCTGAGAAATAAATAATAATGTAAACATTCTTTATTTGTGAAATGTAGATCTTTTCCTTTAAAAAAAAAAAGCCTGGCTAACCTTATTTAATTCTACTGAGCTTTACAATTTGGGGGTATTATAATCAGGAGATTGTAGATTCGAGCTGAAAAGGACACTTTTCTTGGTACTGCATCAGTGGTAAAATTCACCTGTGTTTTGGGTTAGTCCAGGGTTAAATTGAAAATAATACTTTTTAGTATTTGTGGCCAGAATGATTACCAAACAATCTCTATCAAAACAGCCATTTCTTCTTAATAAAAATAATGTTCCGGAGATGTTGCATAGCACTGTGACCCAGATTCACACACTTGTGCTAAGAGTACCTGTGTGTGCAAAGACTTCTCTTGTCATCACTTTCCTAATCACATTACATTGACTTTCTTCATTTCTTTCTCCCCCACACCCTGCCCTTCAACTTGCTAAGTACACAGTGTATTTTCTTCCTAAAAGACTTTCTTTTTGGTTCAAAAATATTTTTTTCAGGAATTTGAAAGATTCAAGGGAAAGGAAAAGAGTTAGCTGACTTAGATTCAAGTCAAGGTTGATGCTGATTGTTATGTAACATGGGCATGTAATAAATGGGAATGCAAATCTCCAAGACTGTTGATACTGGACAAGGTTTGGGGAATTTTGGACAGAGATTTTCATATATGTTACAGCATCTTCAGTTAATGAGGAGAAACTATATGTGCTTAGATTGATAGATAAGTAGATTGATTAATCAGTCAATATACTGATTAATCTGAAAAAAATAGGAATCACATTCTTCAAAGAAAACTCAGTGATGAGAATTCTTAAGATGAAGATCTTAAGTTTTCATTCTTTGGTATTTATTCTTTAGTGTGTGTTTATCCTGCTGTCTGTGACTTAAATCCAATGTTTCCTCTTCTACTTTTTGAAAGTGAATACTGGTAGAAGATTCTTGCTTATTTCTGTCAATAGGGTTTGAAATAATTAATCTGACTTGATTAAATGCCTCAGTTATATAGTAGCATTTAAAAAATTATGGAGCCACTGTTACATAATTGGCCTCAATCCCATCTTGTACCCCTTTTGCTGATAGAGCAAAACAAACCTACGCAAATATGGAAGAAATTACCCACAGCAGTTACCAACCCCCGTGCTGCTTAGAAGAATGCATTGTTGTGCATAAACTCAGGATAAAAATACTGAACATTTTTCAACCATGGCTGTGTGTTGATTTCTGTGCCATTGTGTTTTGTTTGCTATTTTAAATTTTTGTCTACAATGTTTCACTGACAGTGGTAGACATCATTCCCTTAGATGCTTTTGGTTTGCCTAGAAGAAATGTGGGAATAAAAGAGATGAGGACGATTACACTTTGGCTTCCTTCAATTTTTCTTTTGGCAGTTTAGTCTAACCTCATCTTCTTTTGTTGATTTTGTAATATGAGAATTTAAGGCATTCAATAGTAGGTTATATGATTGAAATTGTTGGCCATCTCTACTTCCATGAAGGGTGTGTACATACCTACCTCCAGTAGAATCTCAATATCCCATTGTAATTCCTGATAGAATTAAGAATCCATGCTTTAGAATGAATGAAAACCTTAAAACCAGGTTAAATTTATTTTATGGAAAACCATTTATATTACTTTAAGTTCATGGTTCTTATTTGTTCCTCTCATTGTTATTACTTTTTGAGTCTTTGATCTTAAGTGGAGAAATTTCTGCAGAGGCTCCTCAAAGAAGTAGCACATATATAATAGCTGGGTCATAAGAGAGCTTGATTTATAAAATGTTTGATTAATAGAGAAAAGAGGCAAGGTAGAGAGTCTTGTCTCCAGAAACAAAGTTGTCTTTAAAAGTATGTAAAATTAAAGCTTGAATCTCTTGGAACCAACCAAGACAGAAATAAAATTAATATTCATGTAGGTGTATGGGCTGAAGCATCCTACAATCCAATTACATAACAGGGACAAACTAAGGTAACCCTGGTGTAATGTCTTGTAAAAGAAGAAGTGAGGTTATATAATTAGACTGCATTTATCAAGTAGCACATTCCACCTACACAGGCTCTGAAGAAAGAAAGAGGAAGTGGGGAGGGAAAGATTTCTAAGGAATAATGACTAAGAACAGTTTGATATGTACGTTTGTGTCATCCTTTCAAGATTTTTTTTGCTTTTAGTATTATGCATAGCATCACTTAGGCGTCTAATGGCTTACAGTTTTGTCCTTCAAAGACCTTGATCAAGCCAGTCTTTGGGGCAAAAAGAAGAGCTTAGATATGGGTGGAGGGAAAGAAAAACTGGACCCTTTAAGAATTGTGTCTAAGGAAAACGGTCAAGAACAGTTAACTAAGAATATGTTTACTTGGAAAGATCATTTTCATATTGGTAAGTAGAGTTATTAGGTGAATAGAGAGCATATGTTTTGTGCCTTGAGAGGATTAGACTAGGGTAATATTATCACTGTTGATAATGCAGATATTGCAGTATGTTTTGTTAATCCAACAAAGGTATCATAGGAAGGTACAAAAGATAGAAAAAAAATCCAAGATGGTAATAAGGAGCTTTATTATGGTGACCAGTATACAGGAGGGGCAATGGATAGGGCAGAATCATTCGAACCACCACCTTTATGGTTGTCTCTGTTTCACTCGTTCAGCATCAGTCCTTGTAAGATGTTTCTCAGTGCTGTGCTATTAAAGTTGAAACAACAGTAATTCCTGCTGAAGAAGTATATTTAGCCAATTGACCTCGAGTATACCCACATTAGAAAACTACACTCCAAACCAGTTTCCCAGGTTGTTTTCTCCTATTCTTTCCAGTGTTGGAGTTTGTTGGAAATGCTAAGGAAATGTCCTCGCACCAAATTTATCAGATATCAGAAGTGTAGTACCTTTTGCTTGTCTCAAACTTGGGGTGATAGCTGTTGATTGAAGAAATAAAAAATATTGAAGTCCCTGCTAAGTTAAATGTAATTGCTGAAATGGCCAACATTTCATGCAATCAGTACAATCATGCAATCATACAATCAGTACATGAATACTCTGCCATCGTTAGTGTTTTTGCTCCCTCTGAGTGCAAAACATCTGGTGAGGAGCATGCAGCACATGTATGTATGACTTCCCCATTTTCAGTGGATGTACTCATTCCTGACACAAAGGAGAGCAAATAAAAGTAAAGCAATGACAATTAAAATGTACCAATTCCCCAAATACAGACTGATGCAATAATAAGTTTAAGAGACAGCAATAATGAACAACAAAGATTGTTGAATACATGAGAAAATTTGTTTCAAATTCTACCCTTTGGAGATAATCATCATTAAAGCTGGATGAACTAAATTTTAACAAGGAAGTTGGCGAGTAACCAAATCTATATTTAAAGGCTTTCAGCCTACCAAATCTTGCATGTATGTAACCGTCATTTTATGACTTGGCTTTTCATTTCATTAATATTAACCAACAATAACTTCCTTTTGGCTCTGATGGACTTAAGTCTAAAGGTCTCGAAGTTGAAATTGGAAAAATTGAGTTGCTTTTTATACTAATTTCTGATTGCTATTTTTACTTCTTTTATGGTAGAGGCTATATTTTATATATACATCATTTGGCAACAGTAATTCACTTCTAAGCTTTTATGGTGCAAAATCAATTGCCAATTTGGTGATAATATAGGCAGGCACTAATAGTGCTGCTTTGCCACTTCAAAGCATCCAGCCCGAGAAATTTCATAAGCAGGAAACCTAACCCCGCTGGCTGAACTGATATAAAGAACTGCCTCTTATGTGTTCCCTTAGATTTGAATTTTTCAAAGCTCCTCTGGAATATTGTATTTTTGGAGCAATCACAATTTTCATTTATTTCAAGAAGTTGATTTCCTGTAGGCTTCAAAGATATTACAGTTCTGCATGGATTAGTTTTAAAAACCGGAGTGAGCATATGAATTGTTTCTAAAATGTATGGTGTAAGTGCCATGGGCACTGGTATGGAATGGATATGGATTCTGATGTTCCCTCTTCCATATAAAGTGTACTTGGGAAAATCTGTTTCCTGATCTGTAACATTCAGACAACAATAGTTCATAGAACTAATGACTCAGAAGATGCAAATGTATCTCCATATGTTAATACTATTGAAAGTAATAGGAAGATATAGGAGAAAAAATCATCATACTGAAATTAGTAGAAGTGATGAATGGAGGCAGAAGAAACTAGCTGGATATTTTCAGTGGAAAAACTCATTTTAAATCATGAATAACCACTGTTAGCAACTTTCCATATTTGCTCTCAGTATTTTTTAAAGCGTGTCATTGTTTTTGCACCACACACACACATTTGTGTTTGTATGTGTGTCAAATAGTGAAAAAAATCACAAAATCAGAGCCCCAAGTCTACCACCCAGAAACAACCATTATTTCATTGGCTTAACATCATTTTAAATATACATGCAATTATCAATATAGATAAAAGCATATAAAATAGTTTTATAAAAACTAATTATACAGATACTATTTTAACATGAAGCCTTAAAATTTTTGTTTTAATATTGATTGCCTCTCTGTGAAGCATGAGAACGTTTGTCCCCTTGTGTGTCCCTCCCTCTCTGCCTCTGTTTGGATTTTTGTTACTTGTGTCGTTTTTTTTTTACACTGTGTATCTCTAAAACATTCATGGTGACTTGAACCATGATTTCCATATTTCATTAGTACTAGCACTATATTTAAATAAGATCAATGTTCTCCTGCCTCATTTGCCAGGGCTTTGCATTCTTAAATTATTCATCTTGCTTCTTCTCTAAATTGTCTCTATTTCATCATCAAGGTCTATTTTTTTAATATTTTTAGGAAGGGTTCAGAAGTGTATGTGTTTTATGAGATCTTCCATGTTGGCCAATGTCAGCCATTTGCCTTAAAAATTAATACTTTAGCATAATATAATATTTTTGGAGTCACATTTGTAGCCATTGCTCCATGGGCTTCTAGCACTAAATATTGCTGTGCAGAAGTCTGAGGAGAACCTGTTCTTTCCCTGCGATGAGTTATTTGCTTTTCGTGCCTGGATGCTTGAAAAAGTCTTCTCTTTATTTTCCTCTGGACAAGGATATTTTTCATAGTTGTTTTGCCCTTTTTTAAAAATCTTGCTTCGATGCCCCTTTTCAAACATTCTCTCTTGTCTTTTAAAGTATTGGTGACTTCTTGTCTTTCTTTATCTGAGAACAGAATGCTTCTTTTTCACAGGCTTTTTGGTTTGAGAGCTGAATATTTCACGTTCTTTCTGATTTTCTTGAGAAGGGAGGCTGAAGGGAATACTGATGTCATATATGTTCTTTCTAGAATTTCAGGTCTATTTTCTCTCCCGATACTTTGTTAAATGTCCAGTACCAGGTTTGCTTTGCATCAGCGTGAGTGTGTGTGTGTGTGTGTGTGTGTGTGTGTGTGTGTGAAGCGGCACATGGTCAGGCTTCATTAGCTTTCTCAAATCATTCTGAAGCAGTGGATGAATTCTTCCCTTAATTCAAAGAAATTATTGTTTCCTATTGTCCTCAGTGAGAAGCATCTTTGCTATTACTCAGACTAGGGAAACTACCAGGACACCCATTCAACTTGTTTCTTTCTCAATTTGTGGTTATGAACAAGAATTCTCAGTAAGTTTGGACTCAACCATTGACTTGGAGGAGGCATCAGTGTTAGGAGTCAGTGACTTGCTCTGCCCTAGAAATTTCTGTTATTTTCTTAGCTGTCAGAGTTACTGCATTAGGTCTAGCTTTGTTTCTTGTATGTTCTTGTTTTATTTTGTTTATAACTGTTTTGCCCATGTTTAAATGTATTCTGTGAAGTAGTTTTTATCTTCTGTCTTAACCTGAAAATCAGTAAAGGGTTTTAACCTAAGCCCGGAAAGTTACTGCTATTTCCTTTGCAGATGGTGCATTGTCCCTGTGGGGGAGCTGTCTAGAGGGTATAACCAACTGTGTGAACTAGGCCTATCAGAAGGACATTTCACTGAACACCTGCTGGCTTTTATTTTTTTACTTTATCTTTTGTCAGTGTCAAGGGTATTATATTTTTTCCTTTTTTTTTTTCATCACCACTTACAAGCCAGATAAGACAGAACATTCACACCTCACTGACTTTCTTTTTATTGGGAAATTTTTATTTTTCCTCTTGATTTATTTTTTCTTGCTCTGAGTAGGTTTATAAAACTAAAGTGAGGAACATTCAGATAAGATGCACTGTCAAGATTATTCTAAACCCCAGCATCTTTACTATTTTGAAAGCAAAACTTAAAACAAAAAAGATTAATTAAAAATGTTCTTAAAATTTGAAGGTGTTTTCCTTTCCAAAATGTATTTCTGCAGGAATTCCCACTGATTTGAAAGATAAAATTGTATCAGATCAACATCTCCAGTTAAAAAGCTAGTTTTCCATGTTTTATTTCCAAATGCTATCAAGGGGATAAAATTTAAACTTTTTTTGTGCACACATGTTATTCACATGTGAGAATAATGAAACATAATATTCCATTTTTCTGCTGTATCCTTTGCTACATGTAGAGTGCTGCTTGGGAAACCTGCCTCACAGTATGGTTGTGAGGATTAAATGTGCAATTATATAGAAAGCACTTGATAAGCACTTAATACATATTATCTGTGGCTGCTGCTCCTTTCATTGTTATGTCATACAATGGAAATTTCCTCATGGATTTCTTCTTTTGAGTGTTCTTTTTTTACACTGTTAACTCCTTAAATGAGATTTTTGCATAATATTTAAAGTACAAATTCTATTGGTTGTCCAAAGCTCTATTTGAGCTTTTTTCCAAAATATGTTGTTTTGTTTGATAAAATGGGATGTAAGGGAAGCCAATGGGCTATGTTGGAGATAGGCCTCGAGTGCATCCTTTGTGCCCATCTTCAGAAATTGGCCCTCAGCCTGAATCACCAAGCCCAGTACTGTAAAGGATTCATATATACAACAGCACAACCATAGCCCCGCCATGAAATACTGCTGGAATTCAGGAGTTGGACTTCTATATCCTTGATTTTAATCTTAACCCCACTCTTGGGTAGCTTCTTCGTCTTCTTCTTTTCTTCTTCTTCTTCTTCTTCTTCTTCTTCTTCTTCTTCTTCTTCTTCTTCTTCTTCTTCTTATTATTATTATTATTATTATTATTATTGTTAGAGATGGAGTCTCACTCTGTTGCCAGGCTGGAGTGCAGTGGCACGATCTCGGCTCACTGCAGCCTCCACCTCCTGGGTTCAAGTGACTCTCCTGCCTCAACCTCCTGAGTAGCTGGGACTACAGGTGCACACCACCAAGCCCAGCTAAGTTTTGTATTTTTAGTAGAGACGGGGTTTACATTGCATTTCTCCAATAGTTCAATTCCCTTTGCACACATGAAAATTATATGTGAAATCATCGTATATGAGGATCCCATCATACCAAGCCATGTATAAAAGAGAAGGTATTTTGAGCATAGCATCCTAAGTCTGGATTATTTTAAATGAATAGTTATTGTACTTGATGATTTATTTCAAATTTCCTCTTTAAATTACTGTAAATGTTTCACAACATAAATGCTACTCTAATATATTTCTTAGATATATAAATGCTACTCTAAGATATTTCTATATATATAAATGCTACTCTAATATATTTCTTAGATATATAAATGCTACTTTAATATATTTCTTAGACTCACAGTTTTGACACTAAGTTTGTTATAAGTGCAGAATCTCAGACTCCAACCCCAACCCAGACATACTGAATCAGAATTTGCATTTTACTGAGATTCCCCAGAAATTCCTAAGCATGTTAATGTTTAATATTACAGAACTAATATAGTTGATACTGTTAATAGGGAAAGCCATAACACTCAAGAGAAATATGGATTTAAAAGGCCTTTAAACATATGAGACTGAAGCTCTCCATTCATAATTTTAAAAATCACAATCTAAAACTACAACCCAATACCAATGTTCTCTTCATAGACTGGTAAAAGTGCAAAGGGGTGACAATATACTGTGGGTTGTCCAGAAAGAGCACTAGCATTGCTGGAAGTTGAGGAATGCAGGGGGTATAATCCCTAGAGGTTTTTGGCATATCTATCAAAAGTGTATGCTTTAACCCACCAATCCTACCTCTGAAAATTTATCCTCCAGATATGCTTGCAAAATGAAATATGTACAGAAATGTTCATTGCAGAATTATTTGTAAATGGGAGTTGCATAAGGGTCAATGAGGGACTAGTGCAATAAATGCTGCAATAAAATATTATACAGCTATACAAAAGAATTAGAGCATATCCCCTTATACTGATTGGTTAAACTCTTCAAGTACATTGGTAAGGGAAAACAAAAGCAAGGTGCAGAAAAATGTGTATGATACTGTTTTTTTGTGTGAACAAAGAAACAATCATATATATAAATATATTATATAAATATATATTTATATAATATATAAAAATATATATTATATTTATATAATGCATTTATATATTATATATTTATATTATGTATATATATATATTTGAATTAGCCTGTATGGACATTTTTAAAACAACTTTGCAGACACACATAAGAAACAAATTAAGTATCTGTGATACATGTAACTGATGAAGAGCTTGCCAAGACATAAATGTAACTTCTAAAACTATATAGGAAAATGACAGATAATGCACTGGGAAAAAAGTAGACAAAGATTTTTGACCAGTCTATTCATAAAAGAGGATATCAAACAGCCAATAAATGTATAAAAGTGTTCAACATCATGAATAATAATGCAAATTAATACCAGGAGAAGCTATCACTATATGTCCATCAGCTGGCCAAAATTAAATTTTCTTACAATAGCAAGGGCACTAGGGACTTGGATGCATGCTGGTAGGGTGAAGATTGGTGTAAACACTTGGACAAAACCATGTTATGAATATATTTTCTATTAAAGGTGAACATACACGTGTGTTATGGCTAAGCAACCCCAATTCCAGGTATGCACTGTTGGAAATATATTCTCCTCCACCCTAGGAAACAGGCATAAGAATGCTCTTCTTAACATTATTCTCAGTAGCCTCAGACCAGAAATAACCTAAATTAAATATCCACCAGCAGCAAAATAAACACGACTATACAGTGTTTTTTAAAAAAAAAAACAAAACAGAAAATAGCAAGTGTTGGCAAGGATGTAGAAAAATTAGAACTTTTGTGCATTGCTGGTGGGAATGTAAAATGGTCCAGCTGCTGTGGAAAAAAGTTTATCCATTCCTCAAAAAGTTAAACATAGAATCATCATATGATCCAGTGTTCCATACCTAGATATATTTGCAAAAGAATTGAAAGCAGGGACTCTAACAAATACTTGTATGCCAGTGTTCCTAGCAAAACTATTCACAATCAACAAAAACTGGAAACTCAAATGTCCATCCCAGATAAATGGATAAGCAAAACTATTTAGCCTTAAAAAAGCCATGAAAGTCTGATATTTCCTAGAAGACAGATGAAGCTTGGAAACATTACACTGAGTGAAGTAAGCCAGTCACAACGGACAAATATTGTAGGATTAAAATAGGCATATTCACAAAGACAGAAAGTGAGATTACAAGGGACTGGGGAGAAGGAAGAATAGGGAATTATTATTTAATGAGCACAGTGTTTCTGTATGGGATGATGAAAAATGTTTTGGAAATAGTGGTAATGGTTACACAACATTGTGAGTCTACTTAATGCCACTGAACTGTATGCTTAAAATGGTTAAAACTGTAAATTTTGTTACATGTACTTTACCATAATAAAAAAACAAATTATAGTATGTTCATATAAAATAGTATTATACAGTGATGGAAATGAATACACTATAAACGCACTCCACAGGTTGAATCTCTCAAATATAATGTTGAGTGAAGAAAGTCATATACAAAATAATACATAAAATTAATTGTATGTAAGTTCACTTACATAAAGGGCACACAGGCACAACTAAACTATGATGTATCGGGATGCAACTATCAGGATGAAGTAAAAAGAAAAGTAAGAAAGGAACTGCCCTAGAAGGCAGGTTAGTGGTTATCTTTGGTGAGGAGCAGATGAGGCGTCTTTGGGGTGCTGGCAGTGTTCCATCTCTTGATCTGGGTATTCACTTCATAATGATTTGTTTAGCTGTACATTTCTTAATGCATTTTACATATGTGTGTTACATATCACAATAAAATGTTATTTAGGCAGGGCATGGTGGCTCACGCCTGTAATCCCAACACTTTCAGAGGCTGAGGCGGGCGGATCACCTGAGGTCAGGAGTTCGAGACCAGCCTGGCCAACATGGTGAAACCCCGTCTCTATTAAAAATACAAAAATTAGCTGGGCTTGGTGGCAGGAGCCTGTAATCCCAGCTACTTGGGAGGCTGAGGCAGGAGGATTGCTTGAACCTGGAGGCAGAGGTTGCATTGAGCAGAGGTCACACAATTGCACTCCAACCTGGGCAACAAGAGCGAAACTCTGTCTCAAAAAAAAAAAAAAAGTTTTTTAAAAAGAAGTGAAAAAAGGGGTTATGTGTTGAGGTTGGTAATACAAGAACTGCATGGTGTGGGCATGATTCTCTTAACTCTACTATTTTCTATTTGGGTTTTTAACTGTAAGGCTTATGTCATTTAATTTTTTCAATTCAAATAACTAAACCAGTAAACTACAAAATGACCTGGATCAAATGACTGCAAGAAATTTTGATTCTACATATTTAAACAATATAGCCTTCCAGGAAATGTAAATACTTGTTTTATATAAATATAAAAACAAGTGTCTTAAATATAAGTATTGAATTTGATTTGTCTTCAGAATCCAACATTCAGTACTAAGTTCCACTTTGAAACCCTGTTTTTTGACATAGGTTATTAAATATTAAGCATTTAATTATTACAAATTAAAAGGAAAATATAAAGGAGGATGGATTTGTTTGTTTCTTTTTCAGATTGAAACTGCTTGGCCAAGGCCTAGCCAGGGTAGCTGGCCTACCCATGGCAAGGACTTGCAGCAAGCCAAATTAACTTCCTTGTTTGGATCACACATTAAATTTCGGAATAAAGCCATTTCCCTGGAAAGGATCAGGAAGCATTAAGCAGTAGTGCTCAAGAAGATTAAACTTCCATGTTGAGAATCTCACTGGTTATCTTTGGCCTTCTGGATAGCTAGTTCTTTTCTGGCCTGTGTACCTTTCTATGGCTACATAAAAAAATTAATAACCTTTCTAAAAGTAAAAATCCTATTTGGAGTAAGATGGCATTGCAAATTAAATAAGTATTGGAATAAACAACATTAGCATATTTTTTTCAAAGCTATGTGTTTAGCACTCAAAACAATGTCATGTTGGGCATCTATAAAACAGCTTATCAACATTTGCAGTTGGCAAATAGGTGTGTTTTGGAGATGTTATGAGCCCTTCTTTTAAAATCACTAAGATTTCTTATTAGTGTAAAGAAACATCATGTAAGTAAACCCAGAGCTCTTTTTAATACATTTTTTTCTGTTTTCTCTTGTGCTACTGTTTTATTTTTTTAAAACCTTCTTAACATAGATGTCATGGACTCTGTTCATAATTCAGCAGCAAAGATCAGATTTTTTTTTAAGTTCATAGAAATTGAAGCTGTTTGTTTACTAGATCCCCTTAAACTTTGAGACTCATTTTTACCAATAAATCTTTACACACTAAAGAACAACGATCTATATAAATAGTTCAATTAGGTAGCCTTTCTCTCTGCTCCTTAATCTGTTTCCAAAGAGACTTTGTAACTTTGGCTTAGAACTTGCATGAAGATGTTTTCTAGTGTTATTTTCTTGGTATGGTTGCATTGCCTTTTACTTTTTTTTGGTTTTAAAGTAACACATAATTCCTGACACACTTATCATTCAACACATAAGTGCTTCTATTTAGATGTCTACTTTCATTTTATTTTTTAACATTGTACTGTAAAAAGACAAAACATACCTACTACAACAACAGGGATTGTTCTAAATGCTGTCTACCTACTAACTCAATTGTAGGGAGGTTTGATTTTCCATTTTATTTGTGTGCACTTCTAATATACTTGGCAACTCCCTATCATATTCATTAAAGAAAAAACTTTAGATAAACTATCATAGGAAAATCTAAACTGAAATATTTAAAAAAAAATTTTAAATCAGCCTTATTTATTTACATGCATATACAAATACACACAAACATGTTAAAATGCTCAAATTATCCATTTTACATTCCATACCTCATAACTATTATATACATTTAGTATTACCATGTACTATATGTTTGTATGTAGTGCAGTTTATCCAACAGCATAAGTCATACCTTCTGGGAAGATGAGGTGTATGTCAAGCATTGGTGTTCTACTGCCTGCCAGTTTTAGTTTTTAATAAAAACAAGAGAATCACAAAGATGAAACAGAAGCAATCCAAAGTGTATAAATCATGCTTCTTTCCCTTATGATCCTATTCTTGACTTTTATTACCTCATTGGAGGACAAGGTTATACATCTCACTGTTAATCCTGGGCTAGGTCACCTGTTGAGTAAAAGAAAAGCCTTTGGTTCTCAGATTTTAAGTCATCTGACATTTTAAATTTGCATTTGGAGACAATAAAGGAATATAACCAACTTTTTCTGTTTCTTTAGATCTTGAAAAGGAAGTTGTTTGAAGTCAATTCTTTGTTTTGATGTTTGGTCAATAATGAAATAATCTTCATTTTATGTTATATCCGGCAAAGAAAAACAGTAACAGCAATATGGAGCCAGGATGTAAATAGATTGTATTGCTTGAAATCCACTTGGGTAAAAAATAAGCATGCAAAGCAAGGGAAAATAATCAATCAAAGGGGTTGGTAGATGTTTTTCTTGGTTGTGGCTTTTTGGGTGGCTTTTTGGACTATAAGCCAAAGTTGGATCTTGTCCCAACTGCTTTTAATTAAACTCCTACTTCTTTTTCTTTTAATACTATTTTTTCTCATAAAATTAATAAGGGATCATGGTAGGACTTTTGGAAAGTATGAGTATTAATTAGGATATGGGTCTAGCTACTCTAACAGACATCCAAGTGTCTTATGATTAGAGTTTATTTCTACTCTGAGATAATTAGGCAAGAGCTGACGTGGTTCTCCGTGGTGTTCAGGACTCCTAACCTGGACTCCCTCCATATTGTTGCTATGCTGCTGTCCTCCAACATTGCTTCCACCTCCTGATCTAAGATGGCTGCTTCAGCTCCAGACTTCACAGTCACCTTCCAGTAAGAAGGAGAACAGAGGAAAGGATACTCTGGACATTCCCAGAAGTGACACATATTATCTCCATTTAAAATTCATTAGTCTGTGCTCAGCCACAACAGAAAACTGGGAAGTTTCATCTTAATTCTAGTTAATCCTATGCCCATGTAAAATTGGTGGTTCTACAGAAAGAAAAGAAGACTGGTTATTGGGAGAGAGCTAGCAATCTTTCCCAGAATGCAAAAAAGTATAAAGAAGAAAATAACTATTACCCATAAATTCAAAACCTAAAGATACTGTTACCTTTAATTTTTGGCATAGTTCATTTCATTACTTTACTGCATTACATATTTTTAAAAAGAATTATACTATATATTATAATATGCTTTTTCTTTTTTTAATAATAAATGCTCTAACATTCTAACAGTCTTTAAAACTTTATTTTAATGGCTGCATAGTATCATATACTTATAATAAATAAATAAAATAAATCAATCAATAAATAAAATAAAAAAATTATTTTTCAGTTCTCTAAGATATGTAACTTATAGGTCAAAATACTCACTTTAAAGTTTTTATTTTTCATATTACCTCTCAAAAAGGTGGTGTAAAATTATACTCCCACAGTCATATTTGAGTACTCACTGCATCAAATATTTCTCACTACTAAATAGTACAAATTTTAAGATGATTACTCATTTAATAGTTAACAAATGGCCTCTTATTGTTTTGATATCTATTTCTTTGTGAACAACATAGAATCTTTGAAAAAACAATTCTTGGTAATTTGTCTATCTGGTTTAAATTTTCTCTATATGACCGTTATCTGTTTTTCTACTTATAAATTTATGAAAACTCTTTCAATAATATGGATACAACTTATCTTTAACCATGGTGAAATATTTTCCCAGGTTTGAGTTAGTCTTTTCTTTCAATATTTATATTCTTGGAAATTTGTTCTGTTACAATATTTAGAATAAATATTTATTTGTATCTAGTAAGCAATCAATAAATGTTAATTTAATAAGGGATTGAAAGAGTGAATAATTAGATTTATTACCACATTGTATTACTCTTAATGCTTACTGCTAGTCTTTTCTTCTTTTAACTAGGTCTCCCCCTTTTGGATGCTTTTCATTTTGGTTTTCATCTTGAATGACTAGAACATATATTTTAGCAATACTTTTGAGATGCATATATGCTTCATATACACATGCATTTCAAAATATCCTTCTATTGACTTTACCCAAGGACTTGGGTGATTGTATAGAATTCATTAATCCTGTTTTCCTTCAAAACTCTGTATACCTTTTCCTACCTTCTGGTATGTGACATAACGTGTAAGAGTGGCCTGAGTTTTATTTCTTTGTAAGAAATTATTGGCCAAGCACAGTGGCTCATGCCTGTGATCCCAGAGCCTTGGGAGGCTGAGGTAGGAGGATCTCTTGAGTGCAGAAGTTCCAGACCAGCCTAGACAACATAGCAAGACTCTGTCTCTGCAAAAAGAAAAGAAAAGAAATTATTGCTCTTTTGGTTTTATCGTCCTGGCAGTTCTAAGGTACTTTTTCTCTCCTCTTGAAATTGCCCCCCAAAATTAGCTCAATATAATATGAGTGCACATTGATAACATTTCATAACTTCCCCTGGGAATATCAAGAATTATATTAAATAGACAGATCTGGAAATGTTTCCTTCCACTTTGCCCTTAATTCTTATTTCTCTTGGGTCTGCTTGGCCTCTTCCTCTGGAACATCAGTTTATACTACTTGAGTTTGCTTTTCATATATGTTGTCTTCTTTCTTAGTCTAAGAATCTGTTTGTCTTTTGTGCCTCTTCATTCTGGGAGAATTTAAAGGGTTTGTTCCTGTACCAGTGGTTTGCTTTTTCTGATCTGACATTTATGTGCTCGTTTTCTAATAAAGATTTTAATATTGTTATGGTATTTTTATTTCTCAGTGTTATGTTAGCCTACCCTGTTCTTGTTTTGTTTCTGCATGTGTCTAGCTCCTGTTTTATCTCATTCTCTGGCATTTTTGTCTCATTGTTTATAGAGTTATTGTTTCAAGGAATTTTATTGATCCTATAAACCAGATGCTTCACTTGTGTTTGCTCTAGTAAATATTTTCCCAAATGTATGCTCCTTCTCTTCGTTTTGCTTTTATATATATATATTTCTATACATATAAATATAAAATATTTCTAAATATATATATTTATATCTATATACATATACATCACAGTATCTTCAGGGCTCAATCTTTTGAAATGTTTTTATTCCTTTTCATATTTATTCAGAATTGAACATAGAGACTATGAAGTAGGCCAGATATTTGACCATAAACATGAAATAATGGTGGCTAGATTCTAGTATATTTTCACATCCAATTTTTAATTTTTATTTTTTAAGAACCCTATCTCATCTCTTAACCTGGAAGACTGGATATTACAGTCATAGGTTCATGTGGCTGGTTCATTGATCCAGACACTTGAAGGACATGGCCATTTTCTGTGTTTAACTTTCTGTTTGGACTGGTCTCTGTATCAGGTACATAGTGTGACCATGGATACATGACCCTCCTTGAGCAGCTACCCACGGCATTATTGAAATGAAGCTCCAGGTCAGGAAGATGAGCCATAGTTTACTTGGGTAGCTGCTTCATAAGATAGAGCAACCTACTCCTATGGCCTTCACACCTGTACCCACCAGTGCGGGGTTTGTAGGATACTGTGAGCATTGTCATGTAATCATGCTGTGTTTATTTCTCAAGTGAGAGGCTTCCAAGATAGTTCCTGGTGTTTCCCTTCAAACAATTTCTCTTCTCACTAATATTTAGCTAAATATTTATGTTTCTCAAATATTGATGGTATTTTTTCAGGGCTGGATACATTAGTCCTTTCATATAGTAGTCCATTGGTCATTTTATAAGGAATCCAAGAAGCATAGCATAAGAGAAAAGGATAAATTTTCATCCTGGCACAGTGGCTCATGCCTGTGATCCCAGCACTTTGGGAGGCCAAGGCAGGCAGATCACCTGAGGTCAGGAGTTCGAGACCAGCCTGGCCAGCATGGCTAAACCCCGTCTCTACAAAAATACAAAGATTTGCCGGGCGTGGTAGCATATGCCTGTAGTCCCAGCTACTCAGGAGGCTGAGGTAGGAGAATCGCTTGAACCCTGAAGGCAGAGGTTGCAGTGAGCCAAGATGGTGCCACTGCACTCCAGTCTGGGTGACAGAGTGTAACTCCATATCAAAAGAAAAAGAAAAGGTACATTTTCTCAGCACCAAGTTTACGTGAATGCCATTAACTTAGCCTGTTTACTGCCCTGATTCCTGATTTCTCATATTATGTAATGATATTTCCATGTTATTCAATATACTGACAAAAATTATTTTATATTACTATTTCATCATAGAAGCAATATATACATACTCCCAGAAGTATTTGAACCAGAAGATAATGGACTGTTGGCCAGTAGAGCAGATCTGGGCACGGGACCCACAGCATCCAGTACATTAATCCTTTACAGTTCCTTCCATGTGAATTGTCTGAGTGTGCTCTTTGTCCATTCCTCCTTTTGTTAATTAATTTTTAACAATTCAACAGTTATTGTCTACTATATGTTAGAGCTCTTGAATCTTTCTAAGCGCTGTCCTTCAATGAAACACAGGGATTTATTTGCCAGTTCCTTATATTAAAGAGAGGATCTCCTTATAGTAGCTGCTATATAATAGTCTCTTGTCTGCTTTATTTTTAATATAATACTTTCTCAGTTTCCTGTTCTCCTTGTAAGTAAGTATCATGGTTTTGGCCTGGACAGGGTGAAAATTCTCATACTGTAGAAATTATCAGTGGACTTTTGTCTATACTTCTTCCATTTGCTTTGTATATAGTAAGACCAGCCAAGGATATAAATTCTCATATCCAAATTTTTCATCTAATATTTTAATATTTAACTTTTTAATCCAACAGGATTTTATGTTGAATTTTTTGTGATAAGAGAGATTTAAAGGAATGTACTTTCCTCAGAAAACAAGACAAATTCTACAGTGGTGTCTATTAAATATTTCCTACCTATTCATGTGTGACTCTTTACTCTATATCCCAAAACAATCTCACCTCAGTATAAGTAAACTTAGTCCATATTTATGTTTATGTATAAATATATTTAATATTTAATAGTGTGTTATATATGATGTTGTAGTAGCCTGTGATATAATATATACATGTACATTGATTTTTTATATATTTAGCACAGTGTTTCTGGGATCACGAATATTTAATAATATAAAATTTGTGATTAGAATAAAGAAGAGGATAAGATGTCACCAGCTTATTGATGGTAACTGCCACCCCCAATACCTCATCTTGTCCCCAGGAGGCTTGCTAAGGCATGTGGAGGAGGAATGGAGAGCCAGATGGTGCCTGTGGCTCCATGTAGATGATTCCTACAGGGCTGGAAAGCAATTACTCAGTACCAGTCCCCTGGGAGGCTGCCGACAAGGCAGGCATGTTCCCCGCATTCATCTTTACAAGGTGTAATAATTAAGCCAGCAGAATCATAGCATTGCCTGATGGATGTACAAAGAATCAGCATGGACCCTCTTGGCTTGTTCATTACCTCAACGTCACCTACACAAACTAGTAATTACTCACGGAATTTATGGCATTTACATGTGACAATGATCTTTGCTGCATTAACGCCTCCTAAAGCTAAGGTCCATGGGGCCAGTTAAAAACCTATTTATTACCAATGAAGCTTAAGCATTGAGGATTTGGGTAGATTTTACTGACATTACACTTAGAGAAAGATTTTAGATGTCTTCATCAAGAAGAAGACAAAGATGTGTGTTGGACGCAGCCATTTTGAATATATTTGGCAGCAGCTTATTAAATGCCCTAGAGTTAGCCTGTTTAACTCTGCTTTAAACAAGCACTTGACATGTGCTAAACCAAAGAACTTCTCTATCTGAGGTGTAACTGTCTATTATATTTCTTCCACTGACTTAGGCTAGTTGCAGAGGACCCTCCAATCGGTACATTGGAAATTCTTGGCTGAACTTGAAGGCTGTGTTTTAGGTCTGCCCTTCTCTATCTTGCGTTTCTATCCAGATGCCAATATGAACTAAAATAGAGCTTCTTGTTAGTCAGCTTCTTGTCCTTGAGGGGCCTGGAGGCTACAAAAAAATGAGAAGTAGCCATTCATCTTGATATCTGGAACTCTTGCCCTGGGAGGCTGTCAAAGAAAGAAAATTCTGGAAAGAAGAGGAGAAGTTACTATTTTTTGTCAGACGGTCTAGAAGCAGAGCTTGAGATGGAGATTCTGATGCAAGTGATTTTTGGAGGGAATGCTCTCTGGAGAAAGAGAGTGAGAAAGAAAAATAGGGTAGGATTAGAAATAAAGTAAAGGTGGGACAGAAGGTCTAGCCTCAACCTGGTCCCACAGGGAGCTTTGGGGTAGGAATTGCACCACAGAGCTGTCCTGCAGAATGTCATGGACTACCAGCAGCCTACCTCTCCCAGAGGTGCATGCATAAACTTCCAGGCATCTTCGGCCAGGGTGGTACTCCTCAGCCAACAACAGTCCTTCAGAGAACGGTAGAGGTGCCAGCTGTTAGCAGCTGACACCTTCAGCATCTGCAGGATGGGTGCAATGGCCCCGTGAAGGGAACCTGAGTGGGGCACGGAAGTACTAACTACAGTTACTGATCCACCTTCCTCTTTCTTGCCTCCAACAGTCACTCTATTACTCTGTTATGTATAGTCATAGCATTTATCACTATCTGGAAATAGCAGGTATATTTATATATTTACTGCTTATTATCTGTCTCCTTTCCACTAGATACCATAAGCTCCAGAGCACATCAGTGTTGTATCATCAGTTTCTAAACAAGTGCCAGGCACATAGTTAGGTACCGGGGACACAATTTGTTGAATGAGTAGGGGCGGGATGAGGTAGGAACTTTGGAAATCTGTGTCATGCCCAACTGTAGTGGATGCTATCAGTGTCCCATCCAGATCACCTCAGATCCTGGCTTTTTCAACCCGGGTTCCCATTCTCCAGCTTCTGCATGCTTCACTCCTAACAAGTGTCGTCTGCTTATTAGTGTGTGCTTTATTAGTTGAGATAGTAATAGCTAGAATTGATTGAGTGCTTTCAGCCTGTCTAACACTGCTTTAAACAAGCACTTGACATGGACTAAAGCAGTGCTTCTCAGGCTTTAATGTGCACACAAGTCCCCTGTGGATCTTGTTAAAATGCAGACTCTTTCAGTGGGTCTGATGAGGGACCTGAGGAACTGCATTTCCACTGAGACTCCCGGGAAAGCTGATGCTGCTGGTCTCCAGACCACACTAAGAGTGGCAAGGGATTTGTTCATTAATCTTCATAACAGCTCGGTGAAATAGGTTCTATTATTATTTCCATTTTACAGATGAGGAAATTGAGGCAGAGAGAGGTTAAGCCATGTGCTCAAAATGACACAGCTGGCAAGAGATGGAAGCAGAATTTGAATCCAGGCAGCCTGAATCCCAAATGTGTCACCTGAAATACTCTGAATAAAGGCCTCTATTGAAAGATGAAGTTATAAGTCAGGTTGACCAGGCTAACAAGTAAAGACAATGCATCCCTCTGGTGGATCTCACAGTGAATAAAGTCTATACACTGCCCCAGGACACTCGGAATCTTGAACGAGCATGACTCAATGGGAGACTGTTCCACTGTCAGTTTCTCTTCCAGCCTCCCATGACTCCAAACCATTAGGCTGCAGTTTTGACAGTGTTTCCCAATGGCTTGAAAGTAACTAATGAGTGAGTGCCAGTGCCTAATAGAGGTGGATGATGGCAGTTATAATTTCTCAAAGATCATTTGATTCATCTTTTGTAATATTTCAACATTTAATATAAAACAGCAGGCAACTGGAGATTTATAACTTGATTCATTCTAATTGATTTCTTGGCTTCCTTGGGTCTAATTAATTTTTACTGTGTACCCTAAAATGGTGCAATAGGCTTCCTGAAAGCTGTTAGAAGGCAGCTGTATCATAGTTTATAAAAAGCTGAAACTTGGCTTTTATTTGATAGGTAAATAGAAATTGATTTTGCTTTTGAGGTCCAGACATAAAAGAGAAAAATTGACTCCAGAACTCAAGAGAAGATCCTGGATTACTCTGTCTTGGTTTGGGTTCCCCCAGGAGGAGATTCCGAGACAAGGACTCTGAATGCAAGTAGTTTTCTGGAAGGTCGTGCCAGGAAACCTGCCAAGAATGGGAAAGTGAGACAGGGAGAGGAGGAAGCCAAATAGGGGATGCATTGTCAAATAAGTCATATTATGGGCAGCTGGTGTTCAATCTATGGAGTTGTCTAGGAGACAGCACAGGTTCACACTTAGGTTTTATTCCAACCAGGAACAAGTCACCAATCACATCAGTCCTGGGTTGAGGGCTACTTTTTCACATTAACTCCAAGCATTCTGGACATAGGCCTGGCTGGTTTTGACAGCCAGAGAAAACTCTCCATCAAAGAGATGAAAGCGCTTGCACTTGAAGCTGTAGGGTTGGGTCTACCTGGGAATAATAAATGGCAAGGGGATATAGACAGAGAACACAGTGTCTGTTACAATGTCCAAATATAAACTGTGCTGCTTTGACCTTTTGTGCACCAGTGACTTCTCCCCAGTTCCCAGCCGCTTGCCCCTGACCTTGTGTAGAGCCCATAATCAAGATTCCTGTGCCACTGACTTGAAGACCTTTAACTAAGGCAGTTGTCCATCTTACATTTTATAATACAACACTGTATCACCATTTGGAAGAACATAAATTATAACTATAAATTATATAAATTATAAGTTACAACTATTGACAAGATTGTGCATAGTGTAAAGTGCTTTGGGATTTTATTCATCAGTGCTCAGAATAGACCTCATGGTGACTTGGCTTTTAGTGGACCCTCCAGTAACAATCTTTTTGTGAAAAAAAAAAAAAAGAAATGAGAAAAGAAATGCCCCATCAAACTGAAAATTGAGTAGAAGCTTCTGTGTTGCAGTAATTTTTTGTGGGCTTAAGATTTAATCTTGAAAATGCAACATTTGTGTTTAGCATTGTCAAAGGCAAAAGAGGAATAAAATAGTGCCTTCCAGGTCAATGAAAAATAAATCCAGCTCCTGATCAGGCTCTGCTGCTTGCAGGGTGTTGTTCTCTGAGTGTTCTGATTGGCACAACACAGGCTTTCTTGCCACCTCCCAGGCCCAGCTGCTGTTTGCCCACCTGTGAGCCTTATTCCTGCCCAAAACAAGGAAAACAGCAAAAACAGTGGGGCCACTGAAACTGGGCTCAAGGTCCAAGAACAGCTTTCCCTTTGGGTTCTGTTATTGCCACCATGAAGCTACTTGTGGAAGCCCAGGAGCAACTAGTTATTAATCTGTTCCTCTCAACTATTTCTTTAGGAATCATGTGAGTGTATAGACACTACAGACAACGAGGATGATTTCAAAACCAAACCATGATTTATTTGTTGATATTTGGAAATGTACATTCAACTTCTTGTGTTTTGTTACACAACTCGATGGCACATTTTCATTTTTGTTTTAGTTTAATTAACAAAGGGTGTGCTCACCGTGTGCCAGACCATACCAGCACTTGGCAAATTAAACTCATCTAGTCTTCATAACTTCACCATGGTGTAGGTACTGTCTTTATTCCCATTTTACAGATGGGGAAGTTGAAGCACTGAGAAATTGTCATGGTGGTATTATCATGAAAATAACATTAAGATTGATGAAATGTATATATTAACTAATTTTGACTCACAGGTTAATCCTTCTGCCCTTCCCTGATCCTATCCCAGATGGCTTTTGGAATGCTTTCCAATACATATTAAAGGGTTTATCTGTGCTATCTCTGGAATGTTGCCCAGGCTCTGTTATAGTGAAGGGTAGGTTATAAAGTCAGCACATAGTGGAGAAAATGCCATAGAGTCCAAATTAACTCTGAAAATGCTTTCAAATACCTCAAAGTACTGCAGTGTGGTTTTATGCTTATGACCCTCTGTGGTAATTCTAAGGGAGCTAAAGTTCTAGAAAAACTGAGCCTGACTGAAGAAAGAAACTTTCAAATCACTCAGCTTTTAAGATAACTCTAGGGTCGAATGGGGATTGGATGAATCAATCAAAAAGCTTCTGCTTGCCTGCAAAGTTGATTCCTTTCTAGTTACACATCAAGATTCTTTAATCTCAATGTCTGGTAATAGGCTTATTTGTTACCTTAAACATATTTGTTCAAGCACAGTTGTGCTTTTTAGTGAAATGTAACCAATTGCTTAAGAAAAGGGTCTCAAGAAGTAGAAGGCCTGAGTTTGATTCCCAGACTCTTCATAGATATTTAGCAATGACAAATTACATAAAGTATTTGACCTTCAGTTTGTTCATGTTTAAAATGGGTGCATAATCTGTACCTAACCTTATAGGTTCAGTGTGAGGACTAATTCCCATGAAGCTCTTTGAAGGGTGCCTGGCACTTAGTAAGGGTGCTTGAAATGTCAACTCTTCCTGTTATTCTAAAGTCAGGAGGAAATTTAAAGAATCGGTTATGAGATTCAGCTGTACCATATTGTCCTGCATAATGCTATAATTATGAATTGACTTAAAAGGGGCCTGGTTCCATTACTTACAAGCTTGTGACATTAATCAAGTTACTCAACTCCTATGGCTCAATGTCCACAACTACAAAAAGAGGTTTTTAATGTTACATTTCTTATAACATTATTGTGAGCATTAAGTTAATTAACATATGTAAAACTCCTTGGACAATGTCTGGGTTTTTAAATCTGTTACCACTGCTGTACCCAGAACGTAGCACATAGTAGGTCCTTTTGTTAAGTGGGTGAATACACTATCAGTAGCCATAGTAGGAAGAGCTTATCACTTTAAAGTGTTATGTTTTGATTGACACTGTGGTTGCAAAAACATGGTTTTTGGTCACAGTGTGATTTGATGTCATATGTGGTCACATTCATTAATGTCACCACTGATCTCTTAAAAAAAAGTCTGTAAATATTGAGAAGCCCATCAAGCTCACAGTGGTGGATACAAGCTTCCCAAAATTCTAAGTTTTGCTTGGTAGCTTGCATTTTATTATTGGCAACACATACTGTCAGTTATTTACCTTGATAGACCCACTTTATTCATTTTCAAGAAAATATCTGTCACATATCCAAGTCTGAATAACCCTAGTTTTCCTGTCATTCTTTCAAGTAAAAATGGTGTTACTTGGGAAGAATGACTGGTTCAGCTTAAAACTCAGTCTCCTAAGTGTTTCAGTATACCGGAGAATTATTTTATGTATAGTTCTCATTTTGTCATACAGAACATTTGAAAAGCCACAAAGAGTAAAAAAATTTAACAAAATTAATAACTTTTAGCACTTCAAGGATGACATTCTTGAAGTGTGTTTTTAACAGTGAGTGTGTAGAATGAATAATCAAATGATTTCTGGTACACTGGAAGTCTGGTGCCATTGTCTTGATTTGTATGAAGACATAAGCAGTTTTTTTTTTAGCATTGCTTTTGTATAAAGTGCAGATTTCATCTCAGTGAAAAAGGCAATAACCTCTTAATATCATTATGAAATTATTTTGACCTCAGGGACCCTCAAAGGGTCTTGGGGAACCCCAGAGATCTGTGTACTATGCTTTGAGAATCACTTAGCTACGGAAACATTCAGTAGATAAAACTGGCCAGTGAAAGGGATAGCAGAGTCAAGGATGACACCATTTCCCATTCTAAGAAAGTGAGTGGGCACAGATGCCATTGCAGAGAAGTAAGGGACTAGAGAAAGGGCGGGTCTGTGGCAGAAAAGATAGGTTCGTGTTGGTCATGAGGCATCTAGAAGATCTATTTGAGTTGCACATCTTGGGACGTCTTGTGCAATTGTTCATTCAAGAAAGATTAATAGAACATCCACTGTGTGCTGGAAATGAGAGGAATGTTTTTCATTCCCAACCTTTTTAATGCAGAAGTCATTTTCTTAGTGAAATTGTAAGCTTCTTTAGAGGATGACCTAAATTATATATTTAGAAAAAAAATTGTATGAACCTAACACAATGCAAGACATTGACAAAATATCCCAGTTTACAAAAAATGATATTCTCCTTCCTGACTTCCCACAATGACATACAGTTTTTCTTCCACCCTTTATCCAGGTCAGACAGTAGACACAGTCATTCTAAACTTCATCATTAATCACGAAAATGCAAATTAATATCACAGTGAGATATTGTATATACCCAATAAACTGGTGAAAATTTAAAAATCTGACATTACCAAAAGTTGAGGATAAAGTGGGTCATTAGGGATATGAAACATACCCTATGACTCAGTGTATGTACACACAATTTATATGCATATATATACACATACTTACACATATGTGTGCATGTATATATTTATACATATTTATACATGTGCATGCATGTATATGTGTGTATATCTACATGTCTATATGTATATGTATCTAAGTATAAAATTGAAGGTAAGATGACCCTGGACTAATCTTCCAACTAGCAGAGCACAAGCACTCCTGATAAGATGGCCTTATCAGAAGTGCTTGTTCTCTGCTAGTTGGAAGATTAAATTGACACCACCATTTAGAAAACAATTTCACACAATCCTGTACAATTAGACATTACACTCCCTATAATCCAGAAAATCCACTTTTAGGGATATACCCTGCCAAAAGCCTAGCACAAGTTTACCAAGGGATCTGCACAAGAATGATGATAGTAATATGTTAATAATGTCAACTTAAATGACCATCGATAGGAAAATAACTAGTGGTATAGTCCCACACTGGAATATTACACTGTGGTAAAAAATGAATGAACTACTGCTACATGCAGCAACATCTTGAAATCTTAGAAATATAAGCCTTAAAGATAAAAGAAAAATGCAAAAGACTACGTGCAGTATGATACATTATGTTCAAAGCAAACATAACTTTAAACATATTATAGTGGATAATACCTGTTGGATAAAACTATACAATGAAACAGGACTACATTTAACACAGAATTTTAACAAGGTGTTTTCTCCTGGTGGGTGTGTAGACAAAACGATGTGATACAGGAAGAATATATAGGTCAAGGCAATGATATAGGTAACCTTCTATGTTTTAAATTGGGAGGTAGATAAATTGGTTTTTATTATAATGACAGAATACACACAAATGTGTGATACACATATTGCTGAGTATTTTTATATTTATAACAAAATAATATTAAAATATGATAGGAGGAAAGGTTTCTTTGGTAAGCCTTTAAAATTTTGTAACTTTCATGTTTTACACATGTATTGTAAATATGAATTTTTCTGCATGTCTCCTAATAAATTATGAGAGTTTCCAGGGCAAAAATCTTATTTCAGTCATGTTTACATCTTGCCTTAAAACAAAAGAATTTCTAGGCTCTATTATGGACCAAATCTATGTTTGCTAACCAAAAAGAATTAATCAAAATAAATAAATAAATAAAAGCTGCTTTCTAGATTGATCTATAGCCAAAATAATTCACTGATGTTTTCACTTATGTACTTGCCAAAGGATATTAGCTATCATTTGGCATTTAGTCTCTCTCTATATATATATCCTCTTTTTTATTATTTTATTTTTGAGACAGAGTCTCTGTCACCCAGGCTGAAGTGCAGTGGCACAATCATACCTCACTGTAGTTTTGACCTCCCGAACTCAAGTGATCCTCCCACCTCAGCCTCCCGAGTAGATGGGACTACAGTTGCACACCACCACGCCTGGCTGATTTTTTTCTATTTTTTTGTAGAAATGGGGTCTGACTTTGTTGCCTAGGCTAGTCTCAAATTCCTGGGTTCAAGCAATCCTCCCACCTCTACCTCCTCCAAGTTTACTTATTTTTAACAGGAGAAAGATTACTGAACCAATTTTGACTAAGTTTATGGGGTGAGTTCGTCTCAACCAAATACTACAGAGGATTGAAATCTATATTAAGATAGTCACTGCAATTATTTTCATGTTAAGACCAGATATCAGAACATTTTTAAAACGAATATGTGGTGTTCTGTCAGTAATTAGCCATTGAATATGTCAAGTTAATCACCTAATTATGTCTTGCTGTAGAAAGACATACATGAGAAACTTACAAGCCTGTTTTGTACAACGTTGTGTCTTAAACACTGTGTGTGATCCATCTGTCCTCTGAAATTACTTGGAGTCACCTCCCATCACCCGTCAGTGTTCTTTCAGGAATCATACAGATTAATAGAGTCCTCACTTCCGTGCTGTGCTCTGAACCTTTTTAACTTTAATTTAGTCCTGACAGTGGGGAACAAGGACAAGTATATGCCCTCCAAGAACCCGAGAGCTCTCTACATTTTGTCTAGCTGAGGTAATAACCATGTTTATTGGCCTAGGCAATGTCTTTTAGGTCCCTTTTCCCATTAACTTTGTAGTTGTGAACAGTTGTCTTGAGGTTAGGAGGAAAGGTGATTTAAGGAAAAAGAAGGAGCAGAGGGATGGAATGTGTACATAGCCCTTTCTTTCTGAATTATGTCTCCTTGTTTGGCATTCCTTCCTCTGGGTGTTTTGTTTCATTGGCTGTGGTTGAGCCCAGCCTTTATTGATCCCCCTGTCCCACCAGCACTGTGTGATGTAAATGCAAATGTCTGGAGTCATCGGGGATGCTTCATAAAGTGTGGAGCAGACCTAGAGAAAGGTTATGAAAATGTACAATGCTTTTCCATCGTTGTAGCTTCATGCAGACATTATATATCATGAAATGACCATATGTTTGAGTAACCATTTATATGGAAGATGAGAGAGTTTGAAAGTTCATTTTTTTGATACAAAGTATTTTCTACTCAGTCGCAGCCTTTTCTATCTCAGTATATCATCATTTATCTTGCTTTGAATGAACTTGAGTACATATAGTTGTGTGTATATGTATATATATACACACACATGCAAACACATGCATACACACACACCTATATATACATCTGTATAGATGTATGTATATGTACATGTACACACAATATATATGCATACATATATACATGCATACTCCTGTATGTGCATATGCATGTATACATGCATGTATATATTTATACATATGCATGTATATCTATATGTGTATATCTATATGTGTATGTTTATAAGTATAAAATGTACGTATAAAATTGCGGATAAGATGGACCTAGTATGCGACTATACCACTTGTGTTTCTTTTCCATATTGAAAATTGTCAATCTTTCCCCATTTCTGTAGAAAAAATGAATTTACACTCAAAAAAGTTGATTAGCCATGTTAATAGTAATAATGTTCAATATCTGGAAATTAGCTGAGTACATCGATATACAAATTAGTCAATACAAAAGTAGTATATGAAAAAGCCACTAAATAACATGGCCTCTTTGTTTATTGATAAAAAATTCCAAAAGGGAAGTGGAGAAAATGGAGAAAGGCAATTGAATGCCAAGTAATAATCGTTATAACCACTGAGGGGTGGCTGAGAGTGGATAGTATTGATTGGCAAAAGAAAGCTTTCTTGGGATTCTGAGGATATCAGTATCATTAATGCACAACCACTGAGAAGGATTTTAAAAGGTGAGGCATAGACATCACTGTTAGAAATAACAGCAGGGCATTTTTTCAGGAAGCTCTGGCCATTTGGTCAGTCAAGAGCTATTAATTTCAGTGAATTCTGCCTGCATAATATGTGCAGCCCCTAGAGAGGCCACCTTCAATTCTAAACCTCAACATTCATTTGCTGTCTTACCACCTTAGTAGATTTCTTTTTGGGTTTTTTTTTTTTTTTGCCAAAATCTTCACTGCATGATTTTGCAGGCTCACATGCTTCTTGTTTGCCATTTTAAATCACAGTCCCCATCAAATGCCCATTATCTTTAATAAGGTGAAGCAAGAGGCTGGGTGCTTGGCTCACATCTGTAATCCCAACACTCTGGGAGGCCTAGCAGGAGGATTGCTTGAGCTCGGGAGTTCAAGACCAGCCTGAACAACATAGTGAGACCCTGTTTCTACCAAAAATAATTAAAATATACAGATATAGTGGTGCACATGGGTGGTCCCATCTACTTGGATGGCTGAGGTAGGAGGATCGCTTGAGTCTTGGAGGTCAAGGCTGCAGTGAGCCATGATCACACCACTGCACTCCATACTGTGTGACAGAGCAAGACTATGTCTCAAAAAAAAAAAAAAAAGATGCAAGAACTTGAATCAAGAATATAAAGCTCTGCGTCTGCACCACAAGAGACAAGAGTAATTGGTAGAGTTTGTGTTATCCTTTAAAGAGTGCTTGTGACTAGCAGATGCTGAGAGAAAAACCAACATATTTTTCTTGTTCCTCAAGCTACTCATTATTATCTTGATAATATTTCTAATATTTATTTTTTTAAACTGACATGCTTTAAAGTAAATATACTGAAAAAAACCTTATTCACTGACTGAACTAAGTATTCCATTTAGAAGTGTGGAATTGGGGCTTTTTTTTTTTTTCCTCAACATGTAATGAGTCAGTGTGGAATATTGATTATTCATCTGAATATTTAAATCTTGTTTTGTTTTTGGTTTTGTTTGCATGTGGGTTTTCTTGGCTCAGAAAAATAAATAATTGCATGTAAAAACCATTTATTCTTTAATTTCAGAAGTATTTATTCAGCATTTCTTCTATTCAAATCTCTGATGGTATTACATAGCACACAGGAATTCAAATGCAGCAGAGCATCTAAAACATAACCAAACAGATGTGTGGGGCATGTGTTATGCTAATAGGAAAGGCTATGCACAGCATCACTTTAACCATAAACACGCTCCATTAAGATTATAGACATAGACAGGTAGGTATTAGGTTGGTGCAAAAGTAATTGCAATTACTTTTGAACCAACTTATAGGTAGGTAGATAGACAGACTAGATTCATTCATTCATTTATTCATTCATTTTTCTGAAGAAGTAGCAAAAGAGAGACTGCAAAACTTTCTAAAATCCTCTAGAGGCAAAGCCAACACATTATAGCACCTGTACTTCCCATGCTGCATCACACACCAAATGTCTTTTCTTGCTGGAGTGGCCCCATGTCTTTCTGCTGGAATTCAGTTTAGACTCTCTTAGTCTGTTCTCTCTATCCATTATCCTGACCAACATATAAAGGTGTATAAGCCAAGCTGCCCAATAATTATGCTGTAAAACAGTGGTTTTGAGTACTTTCTTTCTTTGTGTTTTTGATGAATGCACAATAAAATCTACATTTTTGTCATTTTGCCTTGGAATACAAGTAACCATCTCACACACACACACACGTAGACACACACACAACTTTCAGGCCCAGGCACTCTCCCATTCTCAATCAACAGTCTTGCCTCAAGGGCATATCATTCAATCTCATGGATGGAAACATACCTGCTGTCCACTCCCAAATTCACGTCACTGTTTCTTCCATATGCCCCTTTTGAGTTTAAGGCTGTCTGTCTGACATTTCCACTTACATGTTTCTCATGCACCCTGATTTCTCAACTGCAACTGAATTCTTAATTTTCATATACCTCCAAAACGGCTGTTCCTCAATCTTTCCTTTTTAGTAAATTCGTTAGCTATCAACTTAGTTGCCCAAACTGGATGTCAAGGAGTCTCTCTGGGTACCCCTTAGGTTCTCATCTTCTATGCAATCTATCACCACCACGTCCTGTTGATTTAATGTCCAAAATACATCTAAAATCCACCCACTTCTCTCCATTTTCACTTTTTCTCAAGGCTCAAGGACTTACTCTTGCTTAACTTGGCTCACTGCTCCTCAGGGCGCAGCTATAATGTTGCCTTATGTATCAGCTATCTCTTGTCACAATAATGTTGTGTAGCAACAACAAAACCTCACTGGCATAAAACACAACAGTAGGCATTTGTCACATTTGAGTGGGTGGGGTTCACCTTGATGACTCTACTGACCTTGGCTGAGCTCACTCACATGTCTGGGGATCATCGAGCTGCTGGCTGACTTAGGATGGCTTCAGCTAAGAAGACTGGGATGACTCAGTTCTGCTCCATGTGTCTCATCCTCCCATAGGCTAGCTAGGGAATGTTCTCGTGGGAATGACAGAGGCACAACAGCACAAGTAGAGATATCAAGTACGAGTATTTGTTCAATGCTCTGGTGTGTTACATCTTCTAATATTCCATTGGCGGAAACAAATCACATTTCTTAGCTTGTGATCAAGGGGCAGAGAATTAGACTTTGCTTCCTGAATGGAGATCTGTTAGTTCCATAATAAGGACGGGGATATAGAGAGGATGATGAATTAGGATGATTAAAGCCATAAATCCACCACGCTAGGTCAGAAAGGCCTTTCTCCCCAAATTAGAGTCTCACCTCTCTCCCATTTATACTCTCTCACAGCACCCTTTCTATGACTCCATAGCCATTTGTTTGGAAGTGGTTTTTTTTTATTATTATTATACTTTAAGTTTTAGGGTACATGTGCACAATGTGCAGGTTTGTTACATACGTATACATGTGCCATGTTGGTGTGCTGCACCCATTAACTCGTCATTTAGCATTAGGTATGTTATTTTTAAAGAACTATGTACTACCCAAACTTGTAAGCCTCATGAGAGCCCAGAGAAAGGAGCTCCCTTTTGTTTATTCACTCACAGAGCCTAGCACAATGCCTGGTACATTGTTAAGTGTTCAGTAAATGTGGAGTGGAAGACAGGAATGGATTGGCAGTGGAATTCTCAAGGTGCAGATGATATATCCTCACTATAGCCCCAGGCTAGAGTGCTGCTTACACCTGCAGGTAAAGATAAGGACTTCAGCTAATAAATTGGCCCTCCTACTACAAGGCCTCTGGTTTCATTGAGCCTTTTGGGAAATGTACCAGTTCCCGAGGCTGTGATTGTGATGTACTTCTCACCCTGGACCAGAGTCAGGGCAGGAGTCAGTTCTACAATGCTGCATTACGGAGAGCCTTGCCTGCCTATTTCTGCTGGTTACAATTCCATTATTACAGGACCCAGTCAAAGCAGCTGGAGAAACTCTACTGTATCCCTGAAAATTCAGCTGTCCTTTGAGGAGTGTAACCTAAGACAATGTGTACTCTGGTAATGCCATGTTCTGCAATATCTTCCATGCCAAGGTTGGCATTTTTGTTAGTAATACTTTCTTATAGTGCAAAGAAAAGAAGCTGCTTTTAAAGAGCTGAATTTGGCACCTCATAATTTAATAGTCAAATCATTTGCTGTCTATTTTCAAGGGTTTTCAGGGGAATTTAAGAACCAGGAAGGACTGAAAGATCCATAATACTTTCTTTTTCTAGCAAATTATTAATGCAAACAGCATTAGTACAATTGAATACAATTGCAAGGAATCAAGGGGATTATAAATCCAATGAGAGAAAAGGCAGCCAGAATGCTAAGAGAGCCACCACCCACTGCTCCACCATGACCCGCCATTCCACGTCCCATGCTATCCTCCACACACTAGACACATGCAACTCCTGCTGCCACTGGGTTGTGATCCCCATTGTCCTTCTGGTCATGCTGTTTCTACCGTCTGGAATACCCTCCCCCACCTTTCCTGACAGCCCAGGCTCTACTCAACATCTAGGCACTAGGTATAAATTTAAAATGTGCAAATGCTTTGACCCAGTACATTTGCTTTGAAGGATTTATCCTCGGGAAATAATTGGAGTTGTGCCTTGAGTTTGCACGGCAATATGCCAGGACATTTGCAGTATTTACGTCATCTCCAGGAGTTAGGATCTGGTGGTCAAGAATGTGGCTTTGGCATCAGACTGCCTTGATTCAAGTCTTGCCTTCACCATTTGCTGGTTCTGTGACTTTGGACAAATCATTTAATCCTTTTGCCTCAACTGCTTCATACCTAAGATAGAATTGATATCGGCAACTAACTCCTAGGTTTACTGGGAAGAGTAAAAGTGTCAGTAAATGTGAAATACTTTGAACAGTGCATGGTGCTCAGTAAGAACTCAGTACATGTAAGCACCTATGCTTTCAAATGGACTCTCATTCGTTGAGAATTTTTCTTCATTTTCTTGCTGTAGTTGCTATTAGTGGAACGGTTAGAACCTTCTCTTTGTATTCTTTGCAAGCTTTAACCTACTGTTTTAGATATATTTGATCTTCAGTGAACAGTTGTTAGTATGTCAAGAAAAGTAATGAAGGTTCTTAAACTAAACTTAATTTTTTATGGAGGAACACAAGGCAATTTGCTAATTCGGGGATCTACTTCTCTTTCATGATAGCATCTGCAGATGTCATGACAGTTTTTCAAGACCCTGGCAACTTGATAATGTGGCCCAAATAGGGGGCCAATTTCATTCTGCTATGAGTCCAATTTAAACAGGCTCGATTGCGTCAAAATTAGACTTTTAATTATACTTTATCTAATGTCAGGAATCAGTGTTGTGCTTTAGCTATTTAAAACTTTGGCTTTCAATTAGAAATTTGATAGCAATGCATTGAATGCATCTCTTCATCATGTTTTCAGAATTTAAATATCTAACTTTTTTCTTCTTTGATTAAAGAGGATTCCAATCATTGCTGCTTGTATACAATGTAAGTTACATACGCTAATGCCTCTTCAGTTTTTTAATTTTTTTAATTTTATTTTTTAACATACCCCTTCATTTATCTATATACAAATTGTGTCAGAAGACAAAATTATTTCTGTGTTTTTCAAATAAAAAATAGGGTCCCTTTTATTTTTCAAGGAATGATCTTCTTTATTAAATATTATATTATACCACAATATAACATCTAGACATTGGGAGGGATCTTTGAAGATGGTGGAAGACAGTCTTGATATAATAAGATTGAAGATGAAAATAGGCTAATAGAATTGCAACCGATTATACTGGGTGTACCCACTGCTATGCTGTGAGGTAGGGATCAATGACAAAGCTTTGTGTACTTCCAGAGATTGGAAATATCTATACAAAGAGAGGTAAGGAGTAGCCTTTCCTTGTAAAAGTAGAATTGATTCCATATTATATATCCTCTGTATGTCCCCGAAATAGAAGGTCTGCTCCCATGAGCAGCTTCTCAGAACATAAGAAGAGCATCTGGGCTGAAAAAATGTTTCTTGTTTCCTCCTTGTTACCTATTCTTTGTATAGATCCGGGGTTTCAACGTAAAGGTCATGATTTTATCTCCTCAGTCATTTGTTGCTGGGCACAATTTGCCTTTATGGCAAGTGTTGTTGCTAGTTCTTAAAACTACCAGAAGAGATACTTACCCTCCTGAGCAGACAGAAGCTCAGGAGTGCCACAAAGATGAATATAGATTTTAAAAGAAATTTAGGTAAGAAACTAGGGAAGTGATAAATCATGGCCCCCTGTTAAACAGAAAACTCATTAACTGGAATACTGCGTTCTAGTTAAGTGACATTTTACTATCCTTTTTTGTACATAGAGCATTACTTCTTTAATAAAAGGATTACAGAAGCACAATATAAAGAGGGTAATTTAAAAATCTCTAAACAGTGAAAATACTACTTTTTACGCTTTGAAATGGCTTTTTATGTCCAGTCCGAGTGACACTTTTCTTCCTTAGTAAAATCAGCAGGCACTTCCAGGTGGCTGAAATCCACCCTGTGCATTGTTGCTGAGAACATTTATAGCACATTGTTCAGATTAGAATAGCTGAGAACGACAGGGGGCTCTTCAAATGTGCCTCATCGAGTCCCAAATTGGAGATGTGTTTTTGTCATTTCAAAGTTTTGGCAGTAGGGTCTAGGATTCAAAGCAAACACCAGCTCCTGCAGAACACAAGCCTTAATTAATTTCCAGCAGGAAATGAGTGATTGCCAATAAGCCATGAATTAAAATGGAATGGTTCACCAAAAACCAGGTCCTCATCTCAAATGAATAGCATTTCTTGCTGTTTTCTTGAAAGATCATCTCAGACTAAGAAGTGAGCAAGCTCCTATGACAGCTCTCTGTCTGTAAGGGGGTAGTTGGTATGGACAAACACCAAACAGTAAGTCCTGGCCCAGTAAAAAATGGGGACCAAATCTGATGGACTCAAGGGCATTTTGTCAGTATCTCTATCATGTAGCCTGCAATTTTTATGGAGAATCTGTCTATTTTTCTGGCTTCATTATTTATCATGTTGTCATTAAGATTCAGTCTTGAGAAGGTCCTTAAAGGTCAGCTGTTTTCATCATTCAGTCAGTGCTTACAGTACACTGGGGCTACTTCTGCCAAAGGGGTGTCCAGTTGCTGCTTGAACTCCTCTTGTGGCCAGAAACTACCCCCTTCTAAGAGAAGCCTGTTTCATCTCTGAGCAGCTCAGCCAGTTTTCATTTTTTCTTAAAATTGAGCAAAAACGAATCCCCTGTTGCTTAAATCCATTGAGCCTGGTTTATCCCTGAGGGCCAAACACAATGAATCAAAAACCTTCTTCTGCTTGATAGCTCTTTAATAAAAGGGGAAGGCAGGTCTCACACTCCCCCTGAGGGGCCTCTTCTGTGGACAAACATCTCTGAGCTTTTCCTATCTTCTTTGAGAGTGCTTTGTGTGTGTGTGTGTGGGTGTGTCCACTTGCTCTTATGTAAATTCTAATTACTATTGTAATAATAAATAGCCAATACATACAGAATGCTTCCAGTGGGCCAGGCAGTGTTCTAAGTGCTCCCATAATCCTCACAACAACTGTATGAACTGGTTACTAGGATTATCCCATTTTACAGAGAAAAAATGAGGCACAGAGAGATTAAGAAACTTGCTCACCAGGATCTGAATCCACTATTCCACACTCTTAACCCCAGCACTATAAAGTTTCTCATGTCCTCATTTGTCTATTTCAGCCATACCTGTCCTGGAGACAAGAGCCATTGCTAGTTTTCTATGGGGAACTGACATTGCTATCATCTACTCCACACTGGCTATATGCTAGGAACTATAGATTAGTTGGTCTGATTAATCCTTTGAACAGTCAGCAATCATTGTTTTTGAGGATGTGTTGTTGTTATTGTTGTTTGGTCCAGCACTTCCCCATACTATCCCCATTAATCATTAATTATGTTGTTAATTAAGAACACCTGTACTTAACTCGTGGCCATTTATTCCTTTTCTAGAACTATTTATTGTCTATATTTTAGAGAACCTTAAATATGAAAATGGTTAATCCAGAATTTTTTGCTTGGGCCAAGCAAGCAAAATGCATTGCTGCTTTATGAAGAAGACCTTCTTTTGGTAAGAAGACAGTTTTTCATATTTTCATAGCCAGCAATTAAAACCACATGAGACAGGAAAACCTTCAAATTCTTTCTGAGCAAAATACTCTTCCTAGTGAGAAATGTGCTCAAAGTGGTTAAAGATAATGGGAAGCAGCAGAATTAGGATTTGAACTCGTGTGCTTCTGGGCCAAAACCATGGAGTTCCCATTTTGCAAACACACCTTGGGGTCTGTAACCAGGTGCGGCTCCCTGCAGGTGCCAACCACCTGTGGTAAAGGCATGATGAGTCCACTTCCTGTAAGGCTCAGCCCTGCTAGTCGCGACTAGCGCCCTCTAGTGGTCCAAGAGAAAGGGTAAGGTGAGTTCCGGTTTATGATTTGACTTGAGGCATTCGGAGGCTAAACATCCACAAGGTTAGTTCCCTGAACCCCTATAAACCTTGCTATTTATATCTCTTCCTCAACTCTGAGGCCCTCACCCTACATCGGCTGCAGTACAGATTCAGCCTTTAGCGACGGAATTATGTACTGAAACACTCATTTCTGTGCCGCTGCAGTGGTTAGCTTTGATTTTTATAGAGATGCACATGAGAAAACAGTCTGAGCCTGGAGAGTGACTTGTGGGCTGCTAAGGTAAATTGAACCCATGTGTGTGGTATCCTCATGATTGGGAGCAGCAGCAGATGGTGGGCTAGGATGCCTCCAGAAATGGGCTTCGGAAGCATAAAATAAGGACTTGTTCTCTTACATCTGCCTCTGTTGGGGTGTTTAAAGAATTGTTGGGATTAATGCATTTTTCATTTGAAGTTTAAACACTCTCAGAGGATGTTTAGCCGATGGACTATTCTCATTATAGAATGAATTGCTTCACTGGGTTGCACTTTGCAAAGATTGGCTGCAGGGAGTAAGTGATTTGTTGGAAAAGAAGGAGCAAAAAAGGGTGGAAAGAGCAAAGACTCAGTGTCTCAGACAAGTCTTCAACTTTTCCTCTCCATCCAAAATGAATTCATTATGACTGAGAGGTTCCAGTTGGACTCCTGGAGACATTTAGAAGTGCCCCAGAAATGCCACCTGCAGGTCAGTGGTCATGTCAAACTAGAATCTTCTGCACAAGTCAAATATAAGAAGGAAACTTGTTTCATTTGAGTCAGATTTACTTAAGTTTTGGATTGACTCCTAGATCGGCTTCTCACTTTGGGCAAGCTCCTTAATGTCTGCAATCCTTGTTATTTTCATCTGTAAAGTGGAGCTTGTGATGCTTACTTTGTGAGATGTCTTTGGAATCAAGCGAAGTAATGTCTGTAATGCGAATAGCCTAGTGCAGGCATACAACAGATGCCCCATCTAATGGGATTATATTAAAATTATTGTTGTTTTAATATTGGTTATGAAAATATTGCAAAGTGAATGAAGAACTCTCCTTTTACCCAATTTTTTTGTTCAATTTTGTACGTGAACAGTTTAAGGAATCTTTTAACGGAATTTTTAAAAACACTTGGAGGCGGTGACTCTTTAAAAGCTAAACCATGAAATGTTACCATCAGAAAAGAGCTGCTGCTGCCATTTACAAGCATTAACCAAATCCTCAAGAATTAAGCTAGAACTGAGCACATTCTTAACAAGGTGGTTTCGAGTTTTCAGATACATCTTTATTTCTTCAGCTCATTTGCAAATACTTATCTCTGATTTAAATCATTCAAATGACTTCAGGAACACAATGGAAGCAGAGCAGAACTAAGTGTTTCCAACTGTCAGGTCTGGTGAGGGATGATGTAAAACGGGACATTTAGCTGGCATCCTGCATAGTCTTTAAATAGAATTAACAAAAGCTTCCACGTTTCAATGGCTAAAGGTAGTGTTTATTGTAAAGGCAGCATGCCTGGAGACCTAAGAGTGGGAGTAGGGGGGTGGGCATGGGCACGTGTGGGTGCAGGCAGGGCATTCTGAGGGGTCAGTTGAAAGGCTCTGTCTCTGGATTCAGCTTTAACTGGTTCTAAAATAATGAAGCAGAAATGACTTTCCTTCTCTCTCTGGTGTCAGCTTCAAATGAATTATGGATACTGAACCTACAGAGGTAATGCTGATTAAATAATTGAACAATCCATTGATTAACTACAGATTGTCAATTGGAATAATCTGTCGACGACCTGACTGCCCACCTTTAGCATTTAGACAGTATTTTAATGTTAATGAGGTTTTGAACTTTTTGTGCTTTTGGTTTGGTGGGGGTTTTTTTTGTTAGTTTTTGAGGGTTTTTGGTGGGTTTTTTATTTTTGGTTCAGCACTTCCCCACCTAATCCCAATTAATCATTAATTATGTTGTTAGTTAAGAACACTGGGCTGGGCACGGTGGCTCACACCTGTAATCCCAGCACTTTGGGAGGCCGAGGTGGGTGGATCACCTGAGGTCAGGTGTTCGAGACCAGCCTGGTCCAACATGGTAAAACCCTGTCTCTACTAAAAATACAAAAATTAGCCGGGCATAGTGGCACGCGCCTGTAATCCCAGCTACTCGGGAGGCTGAAGCAGGAGAATTGCTTGAACCTGGGAGGCAGATGTTGACAGTGAGCTAAGATAGTGTCACTGCACTCCAGCCTGGGCAACAGAGCAAGACTCCATCTCAAAACAAACAAACAAACAAACAAAACAAAAACACCTATACTTGACTTGTGGCTGTTTATTCCTTTTCTAGAGCTATTTGTTGTCTGCATTATAGAGAACTTTAAATATCAAAGTAGTTATTCCTGAACTTTTTACTTGAGTCAAATAAACAAAATGCATTGCTGCTTTGTGCTTTATGCAGAAGACCTTCTCCTGGTAAGGAGACAGTTTTTCATATTATAGCCAGCAATTAAAACCACATGAGATAGGAAGACCTTATTCTAATTCTTTCTGAGCAAAATACTTGCCCTTAATTTATTATTTAATAAACACATATATAGCACTTACCATCTGCCAAATTATTTATATTCTTTTAAATATTAACCAATTTAATCTTCATAGGGACTTTCTGAGTAAAGAACTATGAATGTTCAGCCGGGCGCAGTGGCTCATGCCTGTAATCCCAGCACTTCGGGAGGCCAAGGTGAGCGGATCACCTGAGGTCAGGAGTTCGAGACCAGCCTGGCCAACATGGTGAAACCCTCTCTCTAATAAAAACACAAAAATTAGCTGGGCACGGTGGCAGGTGCCTGTAATCCCAGCTACTCGGGAGGCTGAGGTAGGAGAATCACTTGAGCCTGGGAGGCAAAGGTTGCAGTGAGCCGAGACCGTGCCACTGCGCTGCAGTCTGGGCAACAGAGCGAGATTCCGTATATCAAAAAAAAAAAAAAAAAAAAAAAGGACAACTATGAATGTTCCTGTTTTACAGATGAGAAAACTGAAATACATGGAGGCTACATAACTTGTCAGAGATCACTAGTAAGTGGAAGAGGTGGGATTTGGACCCAGGTAGCGTCCATAGCTTAATCAGTGCTCTCTCAGTACTTTTTGGTCATAACTCTTAAATAAGTGTAATAATAATAAAAAATAATAATAATGTCTGCCATTCATAGCATTGTACTTCTTCTGCCTTTGTAGTGTAGTTCATTTTGAATCCCAGATAGGGACTCATAGATTTTTTTCTTTTTAATATTTAAAAAATCTCAGATTTGTTGACTTAAAATCCATATAGTTTTTTTTTTAAATGTGGACCTAGAACTGAGTATTATTGGGGGAAAAAAAACATTGTAAATTAGTAAGTAGTGTGGTTCATGGGATCATCAACTGTTAGCGCTGGGAGGAATAGTATTTTTCTGACCCATTTTATTTTGGGAATGAAGAATCTGAGGTGGGAGAATCTCTGGTTTTATACAACAGTAGGTTGCCCATGGCTTTCTTTCTGAGGAGACTGGGGGAGACACTTGGATAAGAGAAGGACTTCTGTGAACAAGGGGGTATGCTTTTCTAAAAATGATTTGATTAATCCTTGAAAATATCCTTCTACGAGGCACAGAGGGAAATCCTCCCTACCCCCGAATAATGCACAAGACCTTACTGGTCTACAAAGGTCCTGCAGATAGAACTAAGGACAAGAGAATTCCTATGCCGCTGTAATGGCCTACATAGGAAAAGCATTCTTCTTGTTGTTGAATAAGAAAACATAACATCCTCCAGATTTCTACCAGTGTTTTTCTTATGACTGGAAATAGTAAGTAGAACAATGTCATACTTGGACAACTATATTCAAACTGGCTAATAGTTTTGTTAATTGGGACTACAAATGAGAAATAGAAGTCCCATGATGACCTAGTCCATTGAAGTGTCAAGTTTAAGTCTCCTAGTTCAGAATCAAAGGGAGCAGCTATAGGGTGAGAAGCAATCGCGTCCATAATTCCGTTGACAGCAGTTTTCTTCGGGCTTTGATTCATAGCTCATCTGCTCCCTGCTGATTGCCCTGAGCTCAGCAATGCCATGCTGGTTTCCATGGTGCTGATTTGCATACCAAACCAGGACTTGTATTTTTGTGTTTGCCTCACACATTTCCAGTGCTAAGTGTTCTTCTAAGAAAGGGATTAGCACGCTAGCCAATTAAGGGAGTTTGCCAGAAATAAAGCACCCAGGGAATTTTTCTTCAGGTTATATATTGCTACTGCTATGCCTAAGTACTGATATGGTTGATTGGTTTTCTTAGGTCAGCAATGAGTCTTAAAGATAAAATTTCTACTGTGTAATCTTTAGTGTTTTCTTTTTTTTTTCAACTATCTTTTAATCAGTTTCAAACATTTCAGTGATTAAAAGAGAGATTTGTTGTGGTTTTGTTGTGGAGCAGAAATGGATTTCAAGGAGTTTACCTTCAGAGCTTTTGTTTTTGTTACGGTGGGTCTCTCTAGTGGAAAAAAAATTTCCCCATCCCTTTGGAAATATTTTCTTTAAAGGAAATCATGTTTTTAAAACAAATTATCGAAATCAGCTTTCTAATCAATTTGAATCATCTGAACAAAAGCTGGAAAATGTTTAGTTGTAAATTTCACCAATGAATACTACTTAGCAACACAAAGTTGAATGAAGTTCAACTGTTAGTCCCAAGCTTATGGATCAATCTCAAAACATGATGCTGAGTGAAAGAAGCCTTTTACCAAGAGTATATACTGTTTTATTGCATTTAGATGAATTTATAGGACAAACCAAATTAATCTATGGTGAAAAAAGAAACAGCAGTTGCCTCTGGGTGCTGGGACAGGGATGGCCTGGAAAGGGGTATTTGGGGGCTGTCTAGGGTGATGAAAATGGTCCATTAATCATCATTTATCTTTTGTTTGTTTTGTTTAATTTCCATTTTTATTTTAGATTCAGGGGTTACATGTGCAGGTTGGTTACAAGGATATATTGTGTGATGCTGATCCCGTCACCCAGATAGTTTTTCAGTCCTTGACCCCCTCCCACTCTCCCTCCTTTTGGAGCCCCCGTGTCTATCGTTTCCATCTTGATGTCTGTGTTTACCCAAGATTAACTCCCACTTATAAGTGAGAACATGTGATATTGGTTTTCTGGCTTTGTGTTAATTTGCTTAGGATTAAGGCCTCTAGCTGCATCCACGTTGCTGTAGAGGACATGATTTGTTATTTTTTGTGGCTGCTGCATAGTATTCTATGGTGTATATGCACCCCCACTGATGGGCACCTGGGTTGATGCCATGTCTTTTCTGTTGTGATTAGTGCTACAGTTTTATACTACTCTCACCAGCAATGAGTAAGCTTTCCCTTTTTTCTACAGCTTCACCAACATCTGTTATTTTTTGGCTTTTTAAGAATAAAAAATGGTCTATATTTTGTTAGGAGTTTAGGTTATGTGTGTGCATTCATCAAAACTTGTAAATGCCCACTTGGGATGTATTCATTTCACTGTATATAAATTTTACCTGAATGTAAAAAACAATCTGTAAAAATAATGTTCTTCATTGTAAAATCTAGAGTGATCGTTATCAAAGACTTAGAAAAACTAGAAACTGAGAAAAGGTGGTATGATTTGTGGCAGTTCAATTGGCAGAATTTAGAAATCATGAATAGATATGTTTATTCTGCTATTTCAAATACTTATGTGAATCTCTAGAGCCATGTGGGAAGATATCTGCTTCCTGAAGCTCTGCATTCATTTATAGTTTTATGTGGTCAGGGAGGATTTGATTGAGTTGGAAAGTGGATCATTTGTACTTCACTTTGATCCATCTTCCTTTTTAGAAACGAGAGAAAAGGCATCTGTGATTGTGCCTCTGATTGGGTGGCATCCAAAATCTTGTTTCTCAGGGTGAGCTTAGGGTTCATCTCTATTAAACGTATCATTTGTCAGACATTGGCATGTCTAGTGATTCGGAAAGCCCTTGGAGTAGCACAGAAATGCTATCATAACTCCGGAGTGATCTTTTGCCCTTACCAGTACTTTGGCTTTTTTAAGTTGCCACTTGAACTTGGGTAAGAGGCCAAGGAGGTGGTGGCTGAGGCAGTCAAATCTTGTGGAATGTGGCTGTCAATTGATGCCCTAAAGTTAAGGTTGGTCTGTATTCCACAATTGACAAAAACACATATACAGTTGTGGGCCCAGAATTGGAGTGATGAGAAGACCTTGCATAATGTCTACACAGGAGGAGAGCAAGCCTTTAAACTCCAACTGCCTTGTGAATGTTCTTCTCTTTTGATGTCCCCTCTTCCCTCTCACTGCTCAACCTCTAAGTCCATGCTGCTTGCATATACAGATAACGGTGAGTTGCAGATGATATTATAGGTGGCCTATCCAGATCCATGTCACCTGGCCTGTGCTTTTAGAGCCAGCTGCTGTGAGGATTAGTTGGGAAGACTCACAGCTGCCTTCACTCTCAGAGAGTTATCCTTGATTGCTGGAAGTTATCTAGCCAGGGTTGGTTATAGATCTACCCACCCACCAATGACATCCCCTCTCCCCGCCTCCTCACGTCCGCTTCTCAAGCGCGCATACAATTCTTCTACCCCGCAAAAGCCTACAGGACTATCCCATTCCCACAGTTAGGAATGACTCCATGGTACTTTTCATGGTCCAGAGCTCTCTGTGGGATCAGGCCAAAAACTGCACTTTATTTATCTTCTTCATGAAGATGGTGAAGAATCTCAACAGACCTTCAAAGAGATCAAGGCTTGCATCTAAGACAGGATCAATGATTGCCTCTAAGAAGAAATTACACCTGGATATTTGGGTACCTGTAATTAGGTGTTGGCTATGTTAATGTTTTGCCTGCTGTGAAGCTACTGCATGCGGTGCTTGGGTAGTGCCACTCTTCTTACATGAGGCAGAACCAAGAGGAATGACCCTCCCACATAGTAATGAAGGGGAAAAAACAAGGCAAAGCATGTTTATTTTTAACATTTTGCTCTTCTTAAAAGGGCATCGTTTACACCCATTCCATCTGTAGAACTTTCAACACAAGGGACACATACTGAAGTAATATAAACTCTGACCTTGAGTTATTAGAATATGCCAGAGACTTTGTAGTTCCTGAGAGCCACAAGCCTCCATCTTTTCTCTATAGAAAAAAAAAAAGGCTTAAATCATTGGTCAGCTCTCCTGTGCTTGAAATTGTCACCGTTTGAAGAGTGGCTGTCCTTTTCAAAATATTTGGCATTATAGAGTCACAGAAAAAGTGTTAACTATTCTGTGCATTTACTTATGTTGAAAATGATGTCATGTATATTTGTATTTAATAAAATGTGAAAGGAAAGGAAAATAAGTTCTTTTCAAAATAAAATTTTGGTGCCCCGGAAGGTTTCTCAGCCTGCCTGCAGCATGAGTTTTACTTAAAGCAAAAAGCACTAGCATTTTTTTTAATATAATGGGATGCAATAGAAGATAACTATATCAATCACCTATTTGTAAAATAGTGCTGTGTAACAAACTATCTCAAATTAAAATAATTAAATTAGCTCAGGTATTTTTAGTTTGTCAACATAGACTGGGCTCAGCTGGCAGTTCTTCTGGTTCTGGCTGGGCTCGCATGTGCCTGGCAGCTGGCTGGTGTTTGAGATGATGGAGACAATGAAGCTACATGGTTCTCATTCTCCAGCAGGCCACTCTGAGCATGTTCTCATGGTGGTGACAGAAGAGCAAAGATGAGAGCAAGCAAGGCACTTACACCCTTTCAAGCCTCCACCTGTGTCTTACTTCCTAAGATCTTATTGACTAAAGAATGTCACCTAGTAAAGCATAAGGTCACTGTAGGAGGTCAATACAAGATTAATGATCAAATATGTGAATGCTGGGAGGAGCAAAGAATTGGACACATTGAGAAAATCTACCTTATACAAGAATATACATACATAGGAAATTTTATTAAGTGAAACATGAAACTCACTAGCTAGAACCCCAAAGCTACAATGTACTTCACATTTTCTCTCTGTTTTCTTTCCAGAATCTTGCTCCTACTCACTGACCTTGACCTTTCTCATTTTGAACACTTCATTTCTGTTTCTTGGAATATCTGTTTTTCTTTTCTATCCAAATCCAAAATATTCCTCAAAGCCCAGCTCAAGTTTATACTTTCCTGGAAGCCTAATATCTGTGTCATTGTTCAAGTTTGTTTTTATATTACTTTATAGTCATGATTATTTTTATCTGTATAACAATGTCTTGTTGCTTCAATGTAGTCTAAGCTCCTTCAAGTAAGGAACCATGTCTTATACTTACTTGACTCTCCCGAAGTAGGCTTATTGTATAGTAAGAGTTTAATAGTAAGTTGATTGACAGGTAGTTCCATTTTCAAAGTTCTATGCTAATCCCTTTTTTCTTTGTCTCTGCCAACATTATCTTCCTCTACATCTGAGATGGCATCTCGAGAGTCATCTTCAGTCCATTAGTAACAGCTGTCTTGGAGAATTATATAAAGAACAACTCTAGCCATAACTAGGAAAGTTGGAATGAGAGCTACCATAGATTAGTAATGTCTGCCATAAATAGAGGAAGGGGATAGGCCATTCATATTTACTACCAAAATAGTTCTTAATTTTTTTTCGGAGTTGTATCTTATCTTCTAAGCTCAGTGGAGAAATAGTAATGATATTCATTGAAGGGAAATGATAGTGATGGCAAAATATCAGAATATATGTAAGAAGCCATATATTCAGGAAAAATCACTTAATAATAGGCAGTATTATGCCCACAGAAGGGCTTTCAGCCAACAGACTTGACTTCAAATTCTGGTTCTGCTGATTACTATCACTGTGACTTTAGGCAAGCTATATAACCTTTGTCTGCCTCAGTTTCCCTATGTGCTAATAAATGGCACCAAATGAGGGTTGTTTTGAGGACTTAATGAATTAATATACTCAAAACGCTTAGCATTTGTCTTGGCCCATAGTAAGCACTGAATAAAATACTAGCTACTATTTTTTATTAAGTAGTGGTAAAAATTACAAATAGGTAAAACATACCTTTAAAGTTAAGATACAATGTAACTCCTCCATTTGAAATCTTAGATGAGGGCAGTTGATGAGAGGAAGGGGAGGTGAGTGACCCTGGGCCTAACAGAGAGCTAGGCTATTCCTATGATACCAGGAACAACTTTGAGCAATGATTTTGCCAGCTACTGGCACTTTATTTCAGTCATATTTAATTAGAGACACAGAGCCACTAATCAAGATTGGTTACCGGATTTGACCTTATGCAATTGTGGAAGCTATTAAACAGTCCCTATGAGTCTGTAGTCTTCACATCTGAGGATGGAGCTCAAAGCCAACAGGGAAGGAAGGATGGATATAAAGTGGGGGAGAGCAAGGCAAGCTGGGCTCATGAGCTAGAGCCAGACCTTAGGAGAACAGACTGGAACTCAGGTCAGTTCTTACTTCTTCCATCCTTGGACTAAGCAGGGATCCTGTAGGAGAAGCTGGCTCCTTCGTCATGGAGCTGAACATATGTCTGACCGAGGAAGTAACATATATGTAGGGACAGAAAAGGGTGAAGCAATTGCATGCAAAATAAGTGAGCCACCAAAAAAGTGACAAAGGGCACCTGCCCTGACCTGAGTGGGAAGAGAAGTGGGGACACTTTAGTTTGTTTTTCCAGATTTTCTGCAAAATGTCTCTTGTGGCTCATGGTAATCATAAACAGTGGGAAATCTTGTTAACCCTAGTTAAGCTGACACATTTTGAAGAGTCACCATACTCCTCTAGTGACCATGTGGTACAACAGAAAGAGAAATAACTGGCCTTCAAGTCAAAAGATCTGGAAGTGTAACCTTGGCCAAAATCACTTACCCTTTCTCACTTGTGTTCTTGTGTTCTTAGTTTTCTTATGTATAAAATGAGGGAGGAAGGTGGGCTTTTTCATCCTTAAGGTCCCTTCCAGCTCTTAGTCTGTAATTTTGTCACCTTACTGCCTACTTTCATTAAGTTTCTTGTGTCTGCCGGTCTTGCTTACATATTTCCTGCTATTCTGCCCCAAGACAGCCAGCCAAGCCAAAATGAGCGTAGGCAAGGGAAAGAAGCCTGAGTGTTTGCCTAAACACTTAGGGCTGCTGAAGTCAGATGCTGAGGGCAAAGGGCAACCGTAAGTGATGGAATTAAATGTTTACTGTGTTAACCGTTGACCACTCATGGATTTCAGAGAAAGCTGACCATATTGATTGGAGTTTTCACTCCTGTTTTTCTAATGATATGCAATCTTAACTAAATCTGCCAGCTCTCAGGGGGTTGAACGCTATTCAGCAACATTAATTTCTTTGCCTACTTCCAGTTACCAGCAATTATAATCTTGGCAGTTTTACTCACCTTGAATAAGCACTTGTATGCTTTATTGATATCTGGCAGAGCTGGCTCCTTCCATGCAAAGACCCACTTATGTTTCTGACACTGCTAACTCTACAAAGCGCTCAAGCTGCAGATCAACATTTGTTGGACATTCTGGGGGAAGATGTTATTTCTGAATATGGCAGGACAGAAAGTTCCAAGAAAGCTCAAAGAAATTGTGTTTATATGCTCTTAGACACATTTTTTTCCATCCCCTCCCCTCAAAATCAGTGAATGAGCCAGTCCTGAAAGACACTTGGCACAGTTTCACAGTCTCTTATTGACAATTTCCTTGCTGGGAATTCACCTAGCCTGGAGAGAGCGATCTTGCCTGTAATGACTCCTTCTTTATAGCATACAATCAATTAGTGCTTATCCAATATTTAAGACCCAGCCCCTCACGCCAATTCAGGACAGTTCTGTTGGTCAGTCTCAACCCGGAGTTCCCATGAGATTGGCCGAGACTTCTATGGCAACTGTAACACAGCCAAACTTCTGCTTTTACCCCAACTACTCCCTTCCATAGTTATTAATCCCAGAACTATTCTCTAATAAATGCCTATATACAAACCCCTATCTCCGGGTTTACTTTTCCAAGGAATCAGTGATATAACTGCCATGACAATGAAAGAGATCAAAATTTGGGAGACAGAAAGACGAGGGGTGGGAAGTTGAATTTTTTTCCTCATTTATAACATGATCTGGTTGGGAGGATTCAAGGCAGACCAGTTAGTACAGATCCCCAGTCCCTTTTGGGGATCATAGGACTCTTGTTTTATCCCCTCACGGCATTTATCACCTTCTCTCATAAAAAATTTATTTATTTATTATGTTTTATGTTGTTTGCCTACTTTCTGTCTATACCCACCCCCGGCCCAGATACCCTCAAACAAGAAAGTAAAACCCACCAAGATGAAGTTCTTTGGTTTGTTCACCAGTGGATTTCAAACACATAATAGATGGCAATAAATGCTAAGTGAATGAATGAATGAATGAGTGAATGAATACAGTCAGGGAGAAGAGCTGGGAGGCCATGACAGTAATGTAGGTGAGCAGGGATAGAGGCTGAATGACATCAAAGAATGGGGATGAGAAGTGGATAGAGTCTAAGGTTTTGTGGATAATAGAATGCATAAAAGTGCTTTAGAAACACATAAAGTTCTCACACTTGAGGGTACATCAGATTCCCTTGGAGGGCCTCTTAAAACACAGATTACTGGGCCCTATCCCCAGAATGGATGATTCTGGATGTCTGTAATCAAAGTCCCGTTTGGGTCATTATTTATTTTAGCAACATCCACCATCATAGATTGTGAGCCCCATGGTAGGAGGGGCTGTGCCACTCTGATCACACAGGCTGTCTTTCATCACTAGTGGAGTGTTTGGCACAAGCTAGTACTCAGCAAGATTTGTTGAGTGAGTAATTTACACCCCCCCATCCCCCCGACACACACACACAACACCATGCAAATCTATGCAATCAGGGCACTTGCAAATCCTTAGTATTATCAAAAGAAAAATGCAAATTCTAAGGCATTCTTATGCCCCAGTTTTGACCAGAATTGACCTGTGAAGATGAGCTCAACATCCAATCCAGATTATTCTTAGTGCTGTTCAGAGTGGGAGGATCAACAGCCTCTGCTGGTGTATGCTCTCACTAATCATTATCCTTATTTCCAGTTAATAAGGTTTTTGTCTATTTTATTCATTGTAGAAATAAAGAAAAGAGTTAGTGTTGACCTTGTAACCATAAAGCTTCATAGTTTTAAAGTCAATTATTAAATAACCCATTCATCTTTCTTCTTTTAGTTTGTTTGAAACTCTCTTTTTTTAAAATTATTTTCTCCTGGGCACTACTGGCAACATTTATTTTTCTTCCATTGAGAATTCATTAAGAATTATTTCTTTTCTTTTTTTTTTTTGGAAATTTATCTAACATCTCAACTTCTTTATTGGAATACAGAGACCAACACTGAACTTGGAATTCATAAGTAAAATGGCAGTTACAACCAGATATTATTTCTCTTAAGCCTTATCTCTGTGATGCATCCTAGTATTCATAACTAGGTCTTAATCAAAAAATTATTTTGTAAATTTTTAGACAGTGTATGATGTTATATGACTTCTAGGACTTAAAAGTCTTTTGACTTTTAAAAGTCAGAGATATGTATTTTCCTTTTTGACCTTACAGTCTACCACATTCATTATTAATTCCTAACCTGATTTTCTAGTGGGAGAAGGGGGAGGAATGAAACTTTCAAATAATGTAATGCACCTGAATTAAGACCATTTTGACTAGTCAAATGCAGATATGCAGATATTTTAGGCCTTCTGAACCTTTCATTTCATAGAAATAGAAATTGCCCCCCCCCTTTTTCTTTGGTAGTCATCCAGCTTGTTTCTCTGTTGTACAAATAAAACAGAAATTAGGACAGCGCTGAGATTGTTTTATTCATCCCTGAGTTCTCAGAGGTTAGCACAATACCTTCCACATAGAAGATGCACGGAAAATGTTTGTTGAATGATTACCAATAATGAAGTTTTATTATCATTTTTATCCAAGGGCACTGTATTTCATTCTGTCTATACCCACTCCTGTGTTTATTTTTTTTGGGTTGTGTGACAATATTATGTTCCTGGAAAAGCAACTAAGAAAAAATTGAAAAAATAAATGTTTTCAGTGGGCCAATAAGATGGTTACTTTTGTGCATATTTTTGTGGTCTGATGTTCAAATAATACAATAGTCAGAGAATAAAATCCTTAAAAATAATGATTTATAATCTATTAAGTGTCAAAAGTGAGAGTAGTCATCCCTTCTTACTTTTATAAAATTGTCACTCTTTTTTGTTTGGTAAAAGTGATATCTTTTTACCAGCCCTTCCAACAGCTAATTCCTTCCACTGCCACTTAAAGTAGTCTGTGTTTAGCTGTATTACATTTATACCTACTCAACTTATCTTTTAGTAATGTAGTGTGTATTATATATAGGCACCCATACACATATGTTTAATTATGCAATGACTGCTTTCTTACAGCTTCTAGGACATGGGTCTTAGAGTCACAAAACCTAGTGTTGAAATCTTACTTCTATTATTGCATCAGTTATTTACTGCCAAATAATGTTGCATAACTAATTACTCCCAACCTCAGTGGCTTACGATAATAAGCATTTATTTAGCTCATGTATCTGTAGGTTGGAAATTTGAGTGGGGATCACCTGGGCAATTCTGGTCTTCTGGGCTGGCTCACTCATATGTCTGGCGAGTAGCTGACTTCTGTGATGGGGTGACTGGGTCATGTGTCTCTCATCATCCAGAAGGCTAGCCCAAGATTGTTCACATGGTCGCTGGGCAGGGCTCTGAGAGAGAGTGGAGAGCATCAGGCCCTTTGAGACCTAGGCTCAGCATGACACACTGTCACTCTGGTGCATTCTTGGCAAAGAAAAAAAAAAATTGCAAAGCTAGCTAGAATGAAGACTCCACTTTTTGAAGGCAAATGGTGTTGAGTACAAGAAGGAGGGGGTGACTTAGGGCCATCTATGTAGTCCACCAGAGCTATTCACAAGCTGACTTGGAACAGTTTATTCCAACCTTGGCTAGATAAACAAGGAGAGTTCATGCTTTTCTTTTTCTTATTGTGACCCCATGGAGGTGCATTACTCTAGTGAAATAAAGATTCTCCTTATTTACCACCAAGACATGGGAGTGAACCAGCATACATAATGTCACTATCCAACACTGGGAGGAAAGGAGAAGCCTCTTGGGGTGGGGGGAAGGGGGAGGGATAGCATTAGGAGATATACCTAATGCTAAATGATGAGTTAATGGGTGCAGCACACCAACATGGCACATGTATACATAAGTAACAAAACTGCACGTTGTACACATGCACCCTAAAACTTAAAGTATAATAATAATAAAATTTTTTAAAAAAAGAAAGAAAGTGTTTAGCACGAGGTTTTGGGTGAAGAAGATGAGACATGTGAGGTCCGGGGGCATGGCATTTTGGCTGCCTAGATATCCCAGGATTTAGGGGAATGCATAACTTTCTCACTAAGTATATGATGAATGAGTAAATATGCTTCTCTATATGTTGTTATTGTGTTGTTGTTAATAAAGTGTGTTTTTCACACTGTAATCTTTCAGAGTAACACAGACTCATATACATATGAAATTGAGGACTGTGGGTATCAACTACAAAACATCCACGTAATAGCAGTTAATACTATTTGTTACATGCCAGACTCAGTTCTAGGAGCTCCCTTCTGGTAACACAGTTAATTTTTAGGAGGTAAGTATTAGGTAATATAAACTTCCCTATTTTGGAGATGAGGAAATTAGGTTCCTAGACATTAATTGTGTGTCCCGAAGTGACACAGCTAATAAATGGCAATGGCAAGATTTGCCCTCAGGCAGGAAAGCTCCAGGCTCAGAACCCTAAACCCCTATTCTACAGCTGTGGCTTCAGTTAGGGTTTCCATATGTGGTCACTGTTGTAATTCTGGCTTTCTTCCTTTGAACCAACTCTCAGGAAAACCAAACCATGACTTGCATGTTGTTCCATGGGTGTTTTTCATCCTTCTCTGGCTTTGTCTTGACAAAGTCATTTGGTACATATCTAATAAGACTTTCCTTTGCCATCCATTCACGTGTCATCAAGGAATGCAAAACAGTTTTAATGCAAAATACTTGTAATATTAGGACAGAAAGAAAGAAGAAAGAAAGAAAGAAAGGGAGGGAGGGAGAGAGGGAGGGAGGGAGGGAGGGAAAGAGAGAGAAAGAAAAGAAAGAAAAAGGAAAGAAAGAAAGAGAGAAGAAGAAAAGAAGAAGAGGAAGAAGAGGAAGAAGAAGAGAAGAAAAGGAAGGAAGGAAAAGAAAGAAAGGGAAAATAGAAAAGGAAGGAAAGAAGAAAGGGAAGTAAAACAGGGAGGGAGATAAAGAAAGAAAGAGAGAGAGGAGAAAAAAGTATAATGGATTCCAATATTTTTCTGTCATCCTCAATGTTCGGCTCATACTCTGTACTTCTGTGTTAGCAAACATAATTGAAATAAACCGTTTAGGTAGTAAGCTAATTCTGCAGCATTCAAAAAAGACAGCGTGCAATACTCACAATTTGCAAAACTGTTCTCCTTTTTTTGTTTGCATAGGTTTATACATGTTCCCTTTTTATAGCACAATGTAAACACATGTGAGAAAAACTGATTTGAAATAGATTTTAAACCAGGCAGCCCTTTTGCTGTTTCCTAATTGGTATTCATCATACCTCTTATTGTTGTGTTCTAAGCATTTCGTTCATTTGTTTTTCAGTCCTCAGTTTCCTCATATAAACTTCCATGATCTGCTGCCTAAGAATTTGGTATCTGTTAATGAAAATCAACTTTTAAAATAAGCATTCTTCCTGCCCTGGCAATTAGGAGAACCTTTGAAGACATTGGGGGAGTGATATGGGTCCTGGGATGGGAACAGTAGGATTCTGATAACAAGCCAAAGAGATCAGAAATTCCTTTAAGTATTTTACCGGTACCCCATAGTCCTCAAAATCACATACACAAAATATCATGGGTACAGATCAACAACAAACTTAGACTGGCTTTATAACAGTGCAAGGTCTAAAACTTTGTTACCAAGTCACCAAAATATTCCCAAATAAGTAAAAATCCCACATTAAATGCCACCATCCTTTGTCTCCTCTCTCCCCCGCATTGGGTTCTGGAGGACTTTGGTCATCATAGCCGACATGTCAGTGTCCCCTCGATAGACATTCCCTTGGCATGCAGTATATACTGCTAGCATCTTGTTATAAGTACCTGTGGCTTTCTAAGAGATTTCTCTGGGTTCCACAATGTTTTCAGTTACATGCTGGGCATGCTGAAAGTATCAAGGAATTAAAGCTTCTGGAAGCAGCCGTCCACTAGTTACTAAGGGATTTGATAGAAAAATACCCCAGGTCCATCAGGTTTTAGTAGGGGCGGATCTGAGGCATGTTCTCCTGATCTAGAATTCCCCAGCAGAACTGAGCCCCCATTGCCAACAATGGTTGCCTATTTATTAATATTCTTTATTTTGGCTTCTTTCTCTTCATTGTCTTGTATTCCTGCTCACCTGTCATTGCTTCCTGGGGTTCCTTTCCCCAGATAATCTCCCTCCACTTCAGCTCTAATTCAGTGTGTTTCTGGGAGGACTTTATAGAAGACATCTACCATAATATTACAAAAATTAAATTACTGAAGCTATTCAAATTATTTTCTGATATTTTCATTCTGTCCTTTTCTTACTTCTATCAACCCATCCCCATGTGTCTTTTTTCCCTGCAGTCCAAGATTATTTAGCCCCATCCTACAAGGTCAAGTATTTTATACACCAGCTAAGGAGTAAAGTGTAAAATTTTTAAAAAAAATCAGTAGGTAGAATATTACACTGGAATCTTAATAGTTCTTGCTGATAGTGCCCTTAAGGTTAAAAAAAAAAAACTCATTAAATTCCAAGAGAGAAGATGGTTATAAAAACTGAATGAAAAGATAGAAGTTATTCCACAAGCATTTCTTAAATTAGTTTGTTAAGAGCCTTAGATCATCAGACATCAAGTAGAAAAACACTTATCCAAATCTACAGAAAGCATTTCTCAGAAAGTGAAAGAATGCAGAAATTTACTTCCAAAGTTTTGAATTAAACATGACAGAAGAAGGCATCAATTTGGAAAACTTTCTCAGAACTCTCCCTTGCTTGGTAGAGTGGGCAGCTTACTTCATCTGTCAGAGGAAAGGAAGTAGCTGTTACTGACCAGACGACATGTGTTGAATTGTTTGAGGCTGTACCGCATGTCAAGCTTTGACAGAACTGACATAAAAAATATACCTCACATTGTGTTAGAATTGAAGAGAACAGCTCTTGTTCATTAGAAGGTGAGGCTCTTCAAAGAAGCTTCCTGATGCAGCCCGATCTCCAGCTCACAGAATGAAAAGGGTTTCCTATAAATCTCAGTTAACTGATTGCTTTGGAGACACAGTCCCAAGAGGGATTTGAAGCCAGCATAAACTTGATTATATGCACAGCTTGCGGGATTTGGTCATTCTCTTTCTTTCGGATATGTTTTGTGTTCTTTCTAAAATATAGTCAGTGATATTTTAAGTTGTTTATAAGGTATTTATAGGAAAATTTATTTATAAAATACACAATGTTCCAATTATCAATTGCTGTATAACATAACATCCCAAACTTAGTGGTATAAAACAATAACCATCATTTGTTGTTATTATCTATTGTGGTTCTGTGGGTCAACTAGTCCAGGCTAGATAATAATCTTTCCACGTCCCTCAGGAATCTGCATTCAGAGGATGCCTGGGGCTAGAGCATCTCAAAAGCTTCCTTCCCCACTCACATATCTGTTGTCTTGTCTAGGGAGACCCAAACAGCTGGGCATTGGTGTCTATTCCTATAAACTCTCTCCTTATGGCCTCTCCAGCAGGATGGATTCAGGATAGTAGGGCTTCTCATTCGGAGGTTCAAGGCTCCAAAGATTCATGTCCTATGAGGGAGCACCAGGCAATAGCTGTGTTGCCCTTCACAATCTAGGCTTCTCTAGGTTAGAAGCAAGTCACTAAAGCAGCCTATATTCAAGGAAGGGGCATCGATTTTACCTCTTGATGGAAGAATTGTCAAGGAATTTGCAGACTTTTTTTAACCATTACATTTAATGATTACCTTTCATCATCATAGGGCCTTATTGGTATTTGCAAGCCTAGTTCACTTAACCTAATACCATGCTTAGTCATTGCCAAAAAAAAAAAAAATCTGGCTAATTTAATGTATCAACAATTATAATATAGTGATGCTTTTACTAATTTTTATGCTCTATTCAACTATCCTTTAAAATATACTTATCTAGAGGGAAGAGTTAAGTGAGAAAACTGAAGATTTAGAAGTATGATGTTGATTTCTAAATCAAGAAAAACATATGTACTATTGCTTTTTCACTGAATTAAACTGATTTTTACAGAGTGACTGCTATAATCATAACACTGGGCTAGACTACTGTGATTAATACAGGTAAGTAAAGACGGTTTTAAAATTATGAACAGAACTTAGTCCTAGTTCACAGTCTCTAAACTGGTAGGGGTGTGTGTGTGTGTGTGTGTGTGTGTGTGTGTGTGTGTGTGAAACTACGTGACAAGGATTATTTACACACCATTATAGAAGTCACACTAATTAAATCTAATGAAAGACATGTATTCAGTTTTGATATTTTCCGTAAGAGTCAGGCAAAAGTTCCCAACAAACTTCTAAATCTATAATCAATCCAAAGGAAATTATAAACAATAGGCTTTGTATAGAGAGAGTAGGTGGATCATATTAGGCAATAATCACATAGTTGATTTCTTACTATAAATTATGATTTATGTATCATAAATAGCATACAAATGTTTGTTAAATGAATGAGATCTTACAAACTATTACTGGGAAAATCTTTAATTGGCAGCTCTTCTCTGATACGGGGACTCCAAGGGTCCTTGGAACCTGGGGACTGGGGACTTCCTGATTATTTTCAAGTAGAAGTGTTTGATTTATAGTTGAAAGAGAATAAGACCATTAATGTTCTCTCATTTTTTTTAAATAAAAGTGTAAGCTCTGCCAAGGGGCATTTTCTCATTGGCTTTCAGTGTTATTTTGGTCTCATGAATTCATAAACATCAGCATCTCTACCTATTTCCAAAGAAAAAAAATTTACTTATGCTCAAATCCTTGTCACAGCCACTGCTTCTAGGGAAACATAAACTAAGGCAGGGTGATTGCAGTTCTGGGTATTTGAAAGAGGTTCTTATGGATTTTTCCATGTGGGAATAACGTCTAAGTAATTTTCCAAGAATGAAAATACTAAAGTTTTTGATAATTAAAGATACTGACACAGTACAGACACAAACAGGTTTTTCGGGTGCTTTTCTTGTGAAGCTTTGCATTTAAACTGAAGTTTTATTCATGTAATAATCATGCCCCTACTATTCGCAGGAGTAGGAATAATGGGAGTTAACAGGTGAGGCAGAAAAGAAAGGACATTTCAGAGATGCTCTGCAATAAAGAAGTGACTGAAAACTATAGCACTGGTTTTTCTTGGTTGGATGAATTAATGCACATTCTGAAAAACAGTGTTTTAGATTTCAAGTTCCAGGTCTTCCAGAAGGAGCTATCATCTGAGCTAAGATTGATGCATTCTAGACCATTATTCTGGACTCTTCTCTGATAAGCCCATGAGATAATTTTGTTGAGGTGTGATCATCCCAGCGTTTTAGTTATGTTTCACTGGAAAATTTAAAATATTTTAATAAGCAACATTTGTTTGGGAGAGATACACTGTCCCTGAACTTGGCCTACTATGATGGGAATCCTCTGTTCTGTTCAAAGGCAGTTTTCTCAGGCACCTATGGAGTCAGAGACTGATGTGACACTTAAGTGGTACTTACTATGTTCCAGGTACTGAGCTGAGAAATTTATCATGTATTAATTCATTTAATCCTCACAGCCAGCCATTTAATCATTTCATCTATTTTAAAGACAAGGGTCAGGAAGGTTAAGTGACACGTGTAAGGCCACACACATATGATTTGCTGGAACTTGGATTCAAACCTGTCTGTCCTTAGAGTCCATGCTTTTGTGAGACTCCACCTCTGGCTGTTCCTGAGGAGTTCCTAGTTAAGCGGGAATGGGGGTGGGCAAGCCAGTGATGACAGGGTTAGGTGGATACTGGAATATTCAGGAAGTGCCAGAAAGTACAGAGGATGAAAGGCTTGACTTCACCTTGGATATTTAAAAGCTCCAGAGGACAACACCTTCATTTGAATTGGAAAGGACATAGCCCATTGGAAAACTTGTTGTTTCCAGGGAACAAAACATTTTAGACTATTTTGAAAATCTGTATGAAGCTACAAGTACTTGTATTTGGTTTTATAATCTAGGTAACAGTAATTAAAAGTTGATTCTTTTAAAAGAGATTTACCCTTCGAGGTTGTTTAAGTAAATATTTTGCTCTCTGTTAAGTGTTCCTACTTGGAAGTGTAAATATCTGCAAATGTGTTTATGTGAGTCCTCTAACTTCAGAAAGAGTCCTAACCTATTTTCTTCAAGCTCTTCATACTAAATATTAATTCTCTGGGAAATTATATAGTGATATATTGACCTCTACAGAATAGATTCTTCATATAAATTAAACTATGTGGTTTAATTTTCTGTTGTTACTCATTTCTTTAGCTTGTGAGTGTTCACCCATGTCCTGAGTGTAAGATTGTGGGGCTGGAAGGTTTGCATTCCAGCCCAGCGCTTACAGCACAGCACAAGCTGAAGGCCAAAGAATAGGCGATTTTCAGTTGTTTTTAAGCTTTCTAGGAATGATAGGTTATGATTTCCCTTGGCCTGTGATTTACCTAGTTTCATAAAAAGTATATTTTCCTTTTTTATGACTGACAAAATTGTTCCTAGTGTAAGTTACCTGCTTTTTCCGAAAAGTTTGTTGGTGACTTAGTTTAACTATTAACCCATGAAGTCTCTGAAGCAACAAATGCCTATTATTAATCATGTATTTTGTCTGGGAAACCCCCAATGTCTTTTACTTTTTTAAAAGAAATATGTATAAGTCAATGCCAGATTGCATCCTCACTTTAATTTTACTTCTATGACCCTCCAGAATTTTCTCAAAAGTAGACCTGCTTATTGGGTCTGAAACACCACACTGAAACAGATGCTGATACTTGCTAGAATGTTGACAGGGCTGCTTTCACAGCGTCCAAATAAAACTGACTTAAACTAGATGGAGGTTTTTTGTTTTTTGTTTGAGACAGGGTCTTGCTCTGTCGCTCAGGCTGGAGTGCTGTGGCACAATCATGATTCACTGTAGCCCCAACTTCCTGGGCTCAAGCAATTATCCCACCTCAGCCTCCTGAGTAGCTGGGACTACAGGCGTGCGCCACCATGCTTGGCTAAGTTTTGTATTTTTTGGAGAGACTGAGTTTCGCCATTTTGCCCAGACTGGCCTTGAACTTTTGAGCTCAAGTTATCCACCCACCTTGGACTCTGAAAGTGATGGGATTACAGGTGTGAGCCACTGTGCCTAGCCTGTTTGTTTTTCATATTAAGTTCTGAACCAGAGGGCAGTTTAATGTGACCCTACTCCATTTGGTTGTTGAGGTGTCCAGGCTTCTTTTATGTTGTTCCGCCATATGCTAAAGTACTTGTATGTCTGAACATGGGTTACAGCACCATGTCCTCATTCCAGTTGTGGGGAGGGAGAAGAAAGTGGGAGGAAATTTTTCCCTTGAAGGACATAATGCAGAACTTTCATAAATCACAGATGTTCACATTCTATTTTGGCCAGAACTGAGACAGATGCCCATGCTTAGCTGCAAGGGAAGTTGGAAAATGTAGCTTAATGCAAGAGTTCAACCAACAGACTCAGAAGTTGCTCTTGCCAAAACGAAGAAAGGAAAACCTGGGTATTGGAAAACAGCCTCTGCCATAGAAGGCCTCTACCATAGAAGGCTTGTTAGCGGCCTCTTCCATAGAAGGCCTGTTCATCATAGCTCAGTTCAGAATATCAGGGTCTTCCTAAATTTATGTCATGATAATTCTAATTTCTAATGTTTAAGTTAACTTTTAGTTCACTTGTGCCTTCAGGTAGTTTTCTGAGGGTTTTCTGGCTGTCAATTTATTTCTCACATTGTTGAAAATTATGTTATCTTCTAGTTGCCACCATAGAAAATTAATTATCTTGTAGTTCATTTCACTAACTACAAATATATATTATATAATGTGTACATATGTATAGTTATATATATATATACACACACACAAATTAGTGTTATATACATATACAGTAATACACATGCTTATATACATATATGCACATATATAAACACACACAAATCACACAAATGCAGGTTGAGTATTCTTTATCTGAAATGCTTGGGGCCAGAAGTGTTTTAAGATTTTGGATTGTTTCAGAGTTCAGAATATTTACATTATACTGGTTGAGAATCTGTAATCCAAAAATCTGAAATGCTCCAATGAGCATTTCTTTTGAGCATCATATTGGCACTCAAAAAGTTTAGGATTTTAGAGCATATTGGATTTTGGATTTTCAGATGAGAGATGCTCAACCTGTACATGATAACATGACTAGGGGTGTTTTTTTTAATATTTTGTTCACCAAATCTTTTTTTCTCTCATTTGTCTTGCTGAATGCCTTTATCATAGCTTAAATTTGAATTTTCTGCTTCTGAACAGTGCTTAAAATGGAAAGAGGAGGCAGATGCTGGAGTTGCTGGTATCTGCAGCCAGCTTCTCTTGTCGCTGTGTTGGCTTTTCTTAATTTTTAAGCATATGACATATGACTAGTTGTTTTTTGTTTTTTGGTTCATTGCCTGATTTTGGCCCTAACTATTCCATTTTAATTTTAGTTATCCTGCATCATTTCTGTAGGTGTGTTTTATTTGTTATTTCTGGGTGACTAATAAATATATACATTTATATATTATTATATATGAATTATATAAACTTTACAAATTAAATGAGCATGTATATATAAAAAATAATAGCCTACTGCCACTCTAATATGCAACTTTGGGTATATGAAAGTTGATTCTGTTTTGAGTATTCATATGCTCTGAGACAGATGCCTCAAAATAAGATACCTAACGGAGTACTTGCTGCTCTAGGCTTCTAGAGGACTCCCTGGGGTGAGGATTGTTCAGAAAGGAAACACGGAACATAAGCATGATATTATGTTATGGCCAACTAATTAGACATCTAGTCAATTGACTAACAATGTGTGTGTGAGACCCTGTGCTGGGTACAGAGTCAGGGAAAAGCTATCAATCCTGAATAGCCCCAGTATCTTCAGAATCAATTACTGATGCTAACAATATCTTCCAGTGTCAAATGAGAATACAAGATGCACATGACTTTCCTAACTAATTACTATGACTCAATTGGTTAGTTTGAGGAGGTCTTAAATGACAAAATTTAATTCTGTATTCCTGTATATATAGCCAGTATTTTATAAAAGAGAAATTTGGTGAAATGGTTCTGTATGTGTTGCTATGAATTGAAACAAATTCCAGCCACTTGAAAAGATTTTTTAAAGTCTTATTTGCTTTTCTACCAGATGTGCTTGGAAGTGAGTGAAAGTCTCTCAACTAGAACTGCCAGGTCTTTGAGTATAGGTGGCATTTTGTCTTAGCCTAAAATAAATACTTTTTTTTTTTTTTTTTGAGATGGAGTCTTGCTGTGTCACCCAGTCTGGAGTGCACTCCTAGCCTCCAGTGATCCACCTGCCTCGGCCTCCCAAAGTGTTGGGATGACAGGCGTGAGCCACCAAACCTGGCCAAAGACTTGTTTTTATCCACCACATCTACAGCTGTTTGGTTTTTTCTGTTTGTTTGTTTGTTTTTTTGTTCTCATCCCTGCATTCAGACAATCAAAATGTTTTCTCCTTTCAATTTCCAGAAAATTACAATGATCCAGGTTCTTCGCTGAAGCTACCATATCTTTGTTTCTTGTGCAATGATAATGTCACTGATGGCATAATGTCTTCCTCTGCTAGTGGAGCCTAAAGCCTGATTTCCAATGAAGCTTTTCAGCATTGCTCTCTTTCTAAAATCCTCATCTGACGTGGGCTGTGGTTTGCTTTTAGAGTTTGCTTCAGAGTCCACCTATGCAATTCTCAGAGCACTGCCACAGCATGTTCTGAAATCAGAGTTGGGTCTGTTTAGTCTAGCAACCTCATGAGGACCCCGTCTTATGATTGCATGAACTCTCCTACACAGTAGAAATGTGTATTTCTATAGGCGTTACTTAAATGTTTGCAAAGGAGCTGTGTTTCAGTTTTCCCTCTTGTAATTAAATGCTGACATATTTTGCAATTGAAAATAGGAGAAAATAGGTAGGTGGCAAGACGGTGTTCAAGAATAATTCTTTCCTCGGGCAAAAACCACTAAGATCAAGATTCCATCCCCCTGATTCTTCTGCAAAAAAATGTAGGACAAAACCATGGGGCCTTAAAATGAATGAGAACAATAACATCGAATCAATAATAATAGCTATCATTTATAATTGCTTATCACGTGCCGGGCCTTGTTCTTAGTACTTTACAGTGTATTAACTCATCGTTTCATTATAGACAATGTAGAGAGCAGATATTACTCTCATTTTCCTTTTTAGATTGGAAGCTGAATCAGAGAGAGGTTAAGCAACTTGCACCAAGCCTCACAGCTGTAACTGGTAAAGGTGAGGGTTTAACCCAGGCAGTCAGATTGCATATAAACACTCAAGAAGCTGCATTTTATAGCCGTAGAAGAGCCATGCTGCATTGATAAAATGTGCTCCTTAGCAGGCGCTCAAATGTTACACCAGCTCACTGGCTTGAGTAATCAGTCCTCCTTTCACTGGTTCAGTTGCATCAGACGAGTGTTCATTTTTCACACCCAGCAACCACTCTCAGTTCTTAATTCTGATGAATGCATGTCAGGCTATGGAGCTTTCTTGTTTCTGAAGAAGTTGTTGGCTCAGGATTCCTATTTTCTTGATAGCATTCAAGGGATCCTGCAAAGTCAGCAGAGTGTTCTACAAGTCTGCTTTGAGGACAAACTTATTGACATGTAACAGATTCTGAAGATGGTGTCTGGACATTTTCATGCCATTTGTTGCTAGTTGAGTTGAAGGAATGCTGTTGGCACCTACAACATTAGCATCTACATCCTTTGCTGTGTCATAAAGGATAGATGTAAAATACAATGAACTATGAAGGAGGGAGGTAGGAAGTATGACATCATATTCTCTCAGGGCATAAAGCAGATTTACAGTGTACATTGCACATTTAATATGCACAAAGCGCTTCTGGTACATATGAGGTTAAACTATATAAAATACCATTTTGGTAAGTCAAAAACAGTGGACTAGCAGAAAATTCATCCACACACATGCACAGATATACACAGACTCATGTGTACACACTGCACTGTGTAAAGGTATTTATGTTGTCACTTTAGTTAATAAAACAAATAGACAAAGGTCAAAATTACCCAGTGGAATTGGGCTTAACCTCCAAAGAACAATAAAACCTTGTATGACTGAAATTAGAAAGTGGTCTGAGGACCCATTCTTAAAATTCTATCAGAAAAGAATGTTTTACAGACAAAGACTTGCTTTTGGAATACTATGCCTGCTACCATATTCTCAAGGCAAAATTCACACATTGAAAGAATGAGATTCAATACGTGTGAAGTTTTTTTTTTTTTTTCTATGTTCAAATCGGGAGAAGGGCATTATCCAAAGCTGACATATTGAGGTTTCTTTGTTTTTTGTTTTATGCCAGTCTGCTGAAGGCAAAGCCTTTTCTCTTGGCAGGCTGATGCCTTTTGCAAGGTTTTGTGGTTAGGGGCATGCCTGTGCTGCAGTGATGTGAGCAGTTTATCAGCACCATTTTTCTGACAGAAGTTACTGAAGCATGGTGTCTGAGTCCACCAAACCATTACATCTTCAGTTACAAGGCACTTCACTAAAAGAGTGGCTTTGGAATATTTTGATCCTAAACAAAGAGCTTGTTGTTAAAGTGGTGTTATTTTGTTTTATTAAAGAAATGAGGGCAAATGCTCATAGAAGGTGGAAACTCACTTTCAGTTTGGGGGAAATATCCCTTAAACTAGAAGAGGTATATGGAAGAACTTGACACCTTACTAACAGGTATTCTGTGGATTTTTTGTGTTTGCTTCATATGGCTTAATATCACTTCACTCTGCAGAATTATGGAATGTAAGGTAATACACATCAAAGCAGCATAGGTAAGACAATTGGATCGAGAATTAGCAAATGTAGGATTTAGGCTTATGTGTCCCATTTAACCATGGACTTTTCTGGACTTTTGTCTCCTCATCTGTAAAACAAGTGATTCAAGACCGTGAACTGGAAGATGTGATTGGGTGCCGGGTGTCTGTTCTTAAGAGACTCTAGAATTTCTGGTCGCTGAACTGGCAGAGGAACACACAAAGCATTTGACCTTGCTCCCATCTTTCATAATGCCTTGTGCTGCCCTTGGTATTTAAATGAACATGATTCTACTGACTTGCTGTCAGCGGGACTTGCACTTTGGGCTGCTTTCCAGCAGTGGGGAAGGATTTGGGATGATTCATCGACACTTGCTTTCCCAGATGCCTCTGCTTCTGCATTCTACTGTCAAATTGAGCAAATTTGCCAAAGTCAATGACAGATTTTATTTGTTCCTTGCAAACAGGCTAAGGTGGAAAAACCTAAATAGATCCCAAAATACATAGAATTTCAATGTGATGTATATTAACCAGAAAATTCTGTAAATGTATAGATTAAGTATTAGTTATCACTTGTGGCATATTATCAATAATCAAAATGTACTGGACACTATTTTAAGTGCTTTCCATGTTGCATCTCATTTAAACTTCATGACCACTCTATAGTGTGGTAACTATGATTATCCCTAGATGAGAAAATGGAGATGCGGAAAGACTAAATGACTTGCCTGAGATTACACGTAGCCACTCAGTGGCAAAGCCAAGGTTAGAGTAGTCAGACTCTAGTGACAGTGCTTATAACTGCTACATTGTCCCTCTCTTTGGCTAATGGTGCTCCCTACCTGGCTTTTGAGGCAGGAACTCTCAACTCATAGCCAGAGTTATGGAGTCTAGCCCTAGGATGTCAACCCAAGTCAGAAGAACTATTTGTGTGCAAACTTTACCATGTATAAGATGTGAAAATAGCACATACATGATTAGAATCATACTTGCTTAACTTTTAGGATCTTATTTGACTAAAATATTTATGTAGCTGCTTTGGAAGGTGCATAGCTGTGGCACAGATGGCTAGCTGATCACTAAAAATACACGTGCCTTTTCATGGCATAGGGTAATTGCTGGCAAAAGTCTTCTCAACGAGGGACTACGTGACCATTTCTCACCAATAAAATGTGAGGAGAAGTGATGTGTGTCACTTCCAGGATGACATGGTTACAGAGATGCGCTTTCCTCACCATCCTTTCCCCAGTCCCTGATTGAATGGAGGGAATTCCAGTCATGTGCTGAAGATTATGGAGCCAAAGACATTGGAGCCTGAGTTCCTCAATAATCACCTGCAGGAAAGCCATCTGACCATGAATACCCACATTGGATTTTCACATGAGTAAGGATAATCTTGCAGTGAATTAAGGCACTGAGTTCTGTGTTATGGCAGCTAACTAGTGCCAAAAGTAAAAAGTGTTGTTGCTTTCATCCAGGTGGGGATTCCATGAATGTCCAGCTTTTTACAATGCTGAGTAAGTCATTGAACTTAGCAGTGTCTCCTGTTATGTTTTGATAACGAAAATTTTTATTTCATGGCCTCAGAGCAATGTTTTCCAACTAGGGGCAATATTGTCCTTATCTCCAAGGAACATTTGGCAATGTTGGGAGACATTTTTGGTGGTCACAACTTATGAGAGGTTGCTACTAACACCTAGTGGGTAGAGGCCAGGGATACTACTCAGCTTCCTAGAATGCACAGGATGTACTCTTATAACCTAAAAAGCATCTGGCCCAAAATGTTGATAGTGCTGAAGATGAGAAACCCTGTCTTAGGAGCATGTTTGCAGCCACAGATGTGAGCATCTTTACTGCATTCTTGTGACATGTAGTTCAATTCAACTGGTAGAGACCCTGTGTGGCCCCTGCTCTGCACTGGGTCTTACTTACTGGATATATCATTCAGGGCACATATTCTTTACAACAAGACTGTTTTGGTTCTCAATTCGCATTCTGTGGTGGAATAAACATTGAGTGGAATAGAAAACATTAGCTTTGGGCCTGGCGCGGTGGCTCACGCCTATAATCCCAGCACTTTGGGAAGCGGAGGCGGACGGATCACCTGAGGTCGGGAGTTTGAGACCAGCATGACCAACATAAAGAAACCCCATCTCTACTAAAAATACAAAATTGGCCGGGTGTGGTGGTGCATGCCTGTAATCCCAGCTACTTGGGAGGCTGAGGCAGGAGAATTGCTTGAACCCGGGAGGTGGAGGTTGCGATGAGCCGCGATCGCGCCATTGCACTCCAGCCTGGGCAACAGGAGTGAAACTCCACCTCAAAAAAAAAAAGAAAGAAAAGAAAAGAAAACATTAGCTTTAAAGCTAGATCTTTCTGTTAACAACTATGATTCGAGGCAAGTTAATAAGCCCCTGCAAGCTTCACTTCCTTCACCTGTAACTGAGAATAATATCATCTGCCTCATAGATTTATAAGCATTAAATTGAATGGTATACATAAAACATTTACTATAATCACTAGCAAATAACAGGCATTCATTATAAATATTCTTTTCCTTCCCCGGACTTCATAAATGTGACAAAAATAACTTGTTAACAAGATTTGAAACCATACAGTGGAATAAACTAGAAATAATTTACTGAGTGCCATAATGTACTGATCCATATTTTTATATATTCTTAGTTTATTGGTCAAGTAAATAACTGGTTTCCAGAGAAAAATAAAACACTCAAGTTAATATTCAACTCTAATTCATGCCATTCCAGTTTTAATTCCAGTCACTTCTTGACAAAGAATTGGTGAACCTTTTGACAGCCGTGACTTAGAGAAATGTTGCTATCCTGAAACAGGTCCAAATTCTTTCTTCTGTGGTCATTCTGGTTCTATGTGGTCTTTTGTTCTTTTATATCCTAGGCTAGTCTATGACCCAGACCTACCTCTGCCCCATGCTTTTCCATGCATAGCTGCTTATTTCCTTGTAGCAAGGTCAACATGCCATTGCAGAACATTCTCAGGTGCTCTTGGCAATTAGTCAAAGTTCAGACATCGAGTTTCAGACTCTTCATAAAATTTCCTATAACCATACCTATTTCTGTACCAAATTCTATTGACACAGATTAATGCAATGCTAAGTCTTAATGAATGAAGCTCTATTCATCAATACTTGAACTACAAATGTCTTTTCCTATTGCCTGGGGAGTGTTTGCTTTGCTCCAATGCTATAATAAATGTTTTCAAAGTGGCCCTGGAAGTTGATGGAAAAAATAATATTTTTATACCAGTGCTTGTAATTTTTTGGTGACATAGTATACATAGTAAAAATATATATGCAGACCATTTGGTGCTGGAGGTGACAAGCTGGGACTTTGTACTCCTGATGTCTCACCCAGCCAGGGCAAAGGGTCAATATCTAGGCAGAGCTGTCACAACCATTCACGACATGCTGACTTGTTGAGGAACTCTATTCTAGACTGCCTTGGTGATGAACCATAAAAATGACAATTTTAACACAAAGTCCTAGACACCTCCCTCTAACCCACAACCTCCTAAATAGTTCACATTAAAGTCTTGTCCTTTATTTTTATGTTTTGTGTTGTTATATGAATTGTCACTTTATCTTTAGGAACTTGATTCATGTTTCATGATTTTCCCTGTTGGCTACACTTGAGGGTCTCTGTGTATACATGAGTAGATCTGGTCCCCACCCGTAGTTGCTCTCCTCCTGCCTTGGAGATTGCTTGGTGCTCCTGCAATGTCTTCCTTCAAGCATGATGCACATTATAATTATTCTGTTCTGCTTCAGGAATGCATATCAAGTTCTATGCAATTAATGCCATTACAAGGCAAATACAGAGCTCTTCTTGGCATCTCCAGGACATCTGTAACGCTGCAGAAGCAAAGCATTGTAGTAATTTATGTGACTTAGGAACTTCTTTTTTCTATGACTGTTAAAATGGCATTTTTAAATGAAGAAGTTATTAGCCAAGAAAAAAGGACTTCTGGAGAATAGCTGACTGCCTACAATAACGCTGGTCAGGGAGGATTTGGGTTCTGGCGCTGCTTCTAGAGGCACGTTGATCACAGCAGGGAGGGATTCAGAAGGGTGAGGCAAGGCTGGTAGAGCAGCAGGATCCAGTGGGAACATTTGGAGAGTCTTTAGCCTGGAGAAAAGTAGTCCAAGGGGATGCGGGAAGCTATTTTTAGCTCTCTGAGGAAGAATTCCTAAAACTGATCTTGAATTCTGCGGTCAACAGAATGAAGACTAAAGGGTAAAAAGGTAGTTACAGAAAGAAATGCAAACAACACATTTAAAAATTGGTTACTAGTGTCAACAGTTAGGTGTTATCCTCTCAGAAGATTATCTGTGTAAACCGAAACCTACACCTATATACGTACATGTTTTTAATTATGCGTATATATTTAAGAATAGTTTTACAAAAATGGGATTATGGCCCATGTATTTTCCTTAAACTGGGAATCAAATTTGGATTTCATATAATAAAGACATTCTATGAATTGGGAGTATCTAGGATTCTCAGTGGGATAGTATTACCAGTGGAACAGACTGCCTCATGAGTAGCAGGCTTGCCATGAGTACAATAGCATAGGCCAGCAGGTCTCCACATTTAGTATTCATGCACATCTCCTGGGGATCTTGTTAAAATGCAGGTTCTGATTCAGGAGGTCTGGGCTGGGGTGTGAGATTTCAAACAAGATACCAGGTGATCGTAGTCCTAGGACTACACTTTGAGGAATAGGTGTCTAGCTTAACATCCCTAGGGATGCTAGAAATAGATTCCTGTCTTGGGATGGGATAAAATAACCCTAAATTTCCATATAACTTGAAGTTTTTATTTCATCTTGATTTTAACTTTATTATTTTCTATGGAAAAGAATGTTGATTATATAGGTGTTTCATTTACTGTCTCACCATTATTCATCATTTTTTTTCTTTTCTATTTCTCTCTTTTCTCCAGTATAGCCTACAACACTGTGATGATAACTATGATTATAATCTTTCCTTTTTTAATGTTCAAAACAAATATTATAGCTCTTCTACTGGTTGCTTATATCTTTATTTAGAAAAACATGTATTTACATATTTTAGGATCATTTCTATATGTCTAATTCAGTTCCCATAGTAATATGAAGATTATATTTAAATTATGCCCCTAGTAATGCTAATAGAAGGAACCAGAATGAAAAATAAAAATAGATAATAATGACTAAGACCAATTAAACACAACTTATGTGATAAACATTGCTTTAAGGGGTTTGTTTATATGCATTAAATTATTTAATCCAAAGTGTAGACTTATGGAATAGGCATTATTTTTATCCCATTTTATTGATAAAGAATGTGAGGTATAGGAAAATTAAATAATTGGTGAAAGTCACCCAGTTTGTGTGGTAGAATTGGAACTTGAACCCAGGCAGTCTAGCTTCCAAGTTGAGGATCTCACTGTTATAGCCATATTGGAACAATTCATTAGGATGATGCAAAATAAGATGTCACCTTATATCAAAATGTGAGTTTTTATTTTTGTACCATTATGGTACCATCTTTGTTGATAATTTAGTCTTTTAAATAGACATTTAGCCTTTGAGAGCATCCATGCTGCATTTTGTAATTTCTAACTTATTTATTGAATTGCCTTAGACATATGGAAAATGTTGGACTATCCTATTTAAATTTCATGAAATAGGCCTTAAAATCGCACTTGTAAGATACATCTGAAACTTTTATAAATTCATAATGATAATTTGGTGACCCTTGCTAAACTAGAGGACACTGGGATTTCAATGTTGGTTTGAACAATTTAGAAACCCTTTTGCAAAGTTACACCAGGGTTTTAAGCATTCTCTCTTAAAAGACAAGTGGAAATAAGTGATTTCTTTTCCAAAGCGGTTTATCTTCTTGGTAAGTTAACTATGTTTAAGATTTAGTATTCACTCCTTAAAATGTTTTTCTATAAGGAAAATGAAAAGGATTGATTAAATGAGTAAGAGTGAGGTCCTGGCATCTAAAGTTGTAGAGTTGTCCATGGCAAGGACATGTGCTCATTTCAGCACATTATGACCATTGCTGGAGACAAGGATGAACAGAGAGGGATGAATGATGCCCAGAAAGGTGCCTGTAACCAAGACTGTGGTTCTCAGGAAGCCAGAGACGTCCAGGATTCAGAGATGTGAAGGCAGTGGCGGTACTTCCGGACTGATTCACAGTTCTAGGAATTAGCAGGGGCTGTCTGTTTCTATTTCCCAAATACCTTAATTTATTAAATTTTAATAATATGTAATATATTCTCATACTTCCAAAAATATAAAGGGCAGGATTTTAACAATGAGAGGCATGTTAATTATTCACGGAGTTTTGCACATTCATAAGGAAAGCTTAGAAAGCCCTATTTCTCTGTGGGAATATATTCCGCCAGTGGAACCCAGCATTATAATTATTTTGTTAACATTAATGGGAGGAATGTCTTTTCATCGATACCCTTTTCTTGAAGAAAGCATTAAAGTGTTCTGGTACCAAGATAATTGTTAAATAGAAAGGGCACCTCTGATGGGTATTCTCTGTTTCATTGATTCTTTTTCCATCTTGTGATGTTGATGATGGTCAAGTCTAAGGAGCAGAGCTAGAACAAAGATGAACTTAAAAGTCATCAATAAAGAGGTATTTTTTACCCAGCTGTCAGAACAAGAAAAGTTTTTTGTACAATTTTTAATCTTGTATATTAACGGTTCTTCTTTAAGATATAATTTATATAGAGTAGAATGCACAAATCTCAAATATAACACTCAGTGAATTTTGACAAATGTATACACCTGTGTAAACACAGCGTAGATTAAGATAGAACATTTCATGGTCCCAGAAAATTCTCTTGTGCCCTCTTCCAGTCAATACCTCTCTCTCCTACCCCTGCACGCACATAAAATACCCAGTGATGACTATTATCTTATCATCCAGCTTAGTTTACTGATAATTACCTTTCATTTAGGTGGAATCACATGGTGTGTTTTTGTGTTTGGCTTCTTTCGTGCAATGTAATTTTTTTTGAGATTCATCCGTGTTGTTCCATGTTGCATTCCTCTTTTTTATTGCTGTGAAGTGTTTCTTTGTATGACTTTACCACAATTTGTTTATCTACTGTCCAGTTGATGGACATTTACATTCTTTCCAGTTGTAAGCTATGATGAGTACAGCTGCCATAAACAATTTTGTACAGGTCTTCTCATGGACATACATTTTCATTTCTCTTGGGCAATTAACTAGGAAGGGACTTACTGAGTCATGGAGCAGGTGTCCATTTTGCTTTATTAGAAACCTCAGTTTTCTGAAGTTCTGTGTCACTTTATATCTCACCAGGAGTGTGGGAGAGAACAAAGATGGTCTTGATCACAGTGGTATGCTGTCACTTGCTCCTCATGTGGGCACTTCCACAGTCTTATATATCACTGAGCTGGAAAGAGGAGGAGAGAATGATAGGCTGGGGACAGGAGGCAATGGAATTATGGAGATAGTGTATTGGAGAGGTAATTGATCCTGCCCCTGCCAGCAAGACCAGCTCATTTACTCCCAGAACTGCTCCTCAGCCCAGCGATGCCTGACAACCTTCCATTAAAAGTTACACCATGCAGACTGGCTGTGTTACAGAATTAATTCCGGGACTGGCTTTCAGCCCACTTGCACCTTGACCTCACCTCTGCCTGTTTTCTCTCACGCCCAGTTCATGTGTATTCATACAGCTTCACAAAAACTCTCTTCTGTTGTTGGTGATTTTTTTGGTTGATCCTCATCACTGAAACTTCATAGTCATGAGCTGTCTCTTACAAGATACATAACTTTGGGCCAGTTACTTAACAACCCCAAGTTTCTGTTTTCTTGTCTATAAAATGGGGATCAGAATGCTATATTAAAAAGTTAATGGGGCCAGGCACTGTGGCTCATGCCTGTAATCTCAGTGCTTTGGGGGGCCAAGATGGGAGGATCGCTTGAGGTCGGGAGTTCAAGGCTGCAGTGATCACACCACTGCACTTCAGCCTGGGCAACAAAGTAAGACCCTGTCTCTTCACAAAAATAAATAAACAACTTTTAAAAAGTTAATTCAATCATTAATGCCTATAAAGGGCTCAGCACATAGCATGTGCTCAGTAAACACTACTGTAACTCCCAGCACAACCCCTCCTGTTGTACTTCCTACATATGATTGGTTTTCCAACTCTCTAATTCCCCTTAATTGATAATTCTAGTGAAATACCCTCCTGGGAACGGACCTAGGAATTCCTGCCTAGGCCTCTGCCTTTCCAAGGCTCATCCTCAAACCGTTACTCTGAGACAATTGTAATGAAACAAGCACCATTTATACGGCAAACTTTAAAGCTCCTGCTAGCTTGAGCTGGGGCTCTTTGGATTTCCTGTTTCATATTTTCCAGGATGAGGATTCGATTTTAAGGATTACATGCTAAAAATAGACCTCTATTATGCATTTTCAAGGATTTTAATATATTGTTAAATTCTAGTTTTTTTTTGTTTTTGTTTTTGTTTTTGAGACGGAGTCTCGCTCTGTCGCCCAGGCTGGAGTGCAGTGGCGCGATCTCGGCTCACTGCAAGCTCCGCCTCCCGGGTTCACGCCATTCTCCTGCCTCAGCCTCCCGCGTAGCTGGGACTACAGGCGCCCGCCACCACGCCCGGCTAATTTTTTTGTGTTTTTTAGTAGAGACGGGGTTTCACTGTGTTAGCCAGGATGGTCTCGATCTCCTGACCTCGTGATCCGCCCGCCTCGGCCTCCCAAAGTGCTGGGATTACAGGCGTGAGCCACCGCGCCCGGCCAAATTCTAGTTTTAACACATAGAGTACCTCCCCTTTAAAAATGAATTGTTACCACCGGCCGAATACCTAAACACTATCATTCTGTGCTCCTGATGTTCCTGTGATCTCATGGAGTCTAGGGTGCCTTTCCCAGTCTCAACAGAGAGGACTTCATGAGCCCTGGGTACAGAAAGGTCATTGGTTTTATTTTAAACAGTGTCAGCTACCTGCTGCCCACTTTGTTCCAAGCTCTTCCTTGGCCCTGCTATTTTCAGGCAAGATGCCCATGAACCAGTACAGCTCTTCACACTCATCCCTTCTGCCTCTTGCTCCAGAATCATGCTTGGGTATCACAAGCCTACATGTGGACCAACCTCCTTTCCCTTGTTCCACCATGCCCCCCTCCCATATACACATCACAAAGCTTCTCTTCCCCATGCCTTCACTCACATTACCCCTCTCTGGTTAGTACTTCCTCATCACCAACATGAAATCAACAGGTACTACTCATTCCATGACTTTGCTGCTCTCCTGTACAGCCAAACTCCTTAGAAAGTCTTCATTAACTTCTCTAAAGGAAGACTTTGTAGAGAGTCTTCACTGTGCTTCCCCTCCTCCCAGTCTCACCCCAACACACTCCATTATAACTGTTGTCCGCTCCACTCTGCTGAAAAGTTGCCAATGTCCAACATCTTGTCATTCCTTTTCATGAAACTTGACCCCTTAGGCTCACTTTATATGCCTGATGGGCCTACTTCTTTTTTGAAAGGTGCTCTTCTCCTAACTTCTGGGACACCGGATTTGCTGTTTTTTCTTCCTGGATTCTTTTCTCTCAGATCTTCATGGGGATGTTTCTTCTCATCATGGATATAACCCCTTTGCAGAGGCCCTCCCAGTCCCAAGCGATCCTAATCAAAGCAGCTTCCTTCAACCTTTGGCCTGACTTTCTACCTCCTTTATATTTTTAATAGCACTAATTATATCTGACCTTCTCATTTATTTATGTAGATGTTAACATTTCATGTGGAAGTTTGTAACAATTGCACATTTGTCAATAATGATCCCTGACATTCATTAATGACCTGCTATGTGCTAATTCTGTCCTAAATTAGCTCGTCTAATATTCAAAATAATGTTATGAAGTAGGAACTACTATCATCATTTTTTGTATGTGTAAACTGAGGTTCAAAGAGGCTAGATAACTTGCCTTGATTCCAAAGCTGTAAGTAACATAATGAGAATTCAGACCCATCTATTTTGATGCTAAGATCTGTGATATAAATCATTGACAGAAAAAAAAAAACAGTGAATTAAGCTGTGTCCCCATGCTTTCTAGGGGCACAAAGAGAGATTTGGTGAGACAGAACATCTTTAAAGGTACCACCTGGAGAGAACTAACATTTTGTTTGCTCTGGAGTGTTGAGAATTTAAAGGTTTGGCTTTGTGATGGCTCAAGCAGTAAATAGATCACACACAGTGAGGAATTCATCTCATTTTGCATCGAGTGTGCAAAGCAGTCATAAATGATGAAGAACTGCATTGTGGGTCTTGTGTAAGTCTTAGAGTAAGACTATAAATTTCTAAAACTTGAAGTTTGTAAACAAAATATACATTAGTTTACTCATTAATGAATTTATAATCTAAGATGAACTGAAACTAGATCCTAGTTAAAGCAAAATAAGGAAGATGCACTGGTCTATATTTTCTTTCCTTTGACTTTCCACTTAATCATTAAAGCCATGGCCTTCATGGATTATTGGCAAGGGAAAGCAGATTGTAACACATTTTGCAGATAGAGAGAGCAGGTGTTTCCCACCTGTTCAGTTCCATCTCCAGGATGAACTTTGCCTTCATTACATGAATCCAGAGCATACTCTCCCAACTTGGTAGTGCTCCTGTGAACTGTTGATCTGTTACTGGCAAGCCTGAATAGCCCGGCGCAAGAGCCAGTCTGCCTAGAAACCCTGAACTGAGTCTAACCTGTTCTCAGCAAATCCCATCTCTGCCTCTCTGGTGGGTCCTCACGGCACCCTTGTCTGCTGCCTATTACTTCCCAAAGAAAGAGACAAAAAAATCCTTGGAAGTGTTACACTAATGACTTTACATATAAAACCTCTCTCAGAAATGTCTGCATTTTTCTGGAAGAGGATGAGTAGAAAGGTCAATAGGTAGCCCCACAGAATGAAAAGTATTATTCAGCTACAGTAGATGCTGGGGGCCCTCAAATCCCAACAGTCCAATAAATCCCATCCACATGGATATCCAAGGAATAGTTTTATACAATTGGATTATAAGTCAAGTATTTGAGGGAGAAGCTGTTCACTAATCGCCCAAAACATTCCTCCAGTCTGCACCTCCTTCTCATTCCCACAGCGACTCTCCCTTTTAGGATATTGTTGTTCATCTCCTAGTCCACTTTTCAAACTTAATGTGTGTACCAAGCATGTGGGGCTCTAGGTAAAATACAGATCCTGGCTCAGCAGGTATGAGATGGGGCCTGAGATTCTACATTTCTGGCCAGCTTCCAGGAGATGCCAGTGCCATTGGTCCACCAAATCACACTTTGTATAGCAAGATCCTAGCCCAGAACTTTCCAAGGCAGAGGAGGCCTCAAAATCCCCTGTAGGCATGTGAAAACACAGATCTCTAGGCCCTATGGCAAGATATTCTAATTGAGTAGGTCTAGGATGGTGCCCCAGAATTTGTATCTTTAACAAGTTATCAGGTGATGCTGCTGCTGATGGTCTGGGAACCCCACTTTGAGATCCACCATCCTAGATTATTGTAGTAGCCCGTGACTTCTCTCTGTCACCTGTACTTCATTGTTTCACTGTCACCAGAATTATCCTTTAAAATTCTAAAAATAATTACTTTGTACATGTTTTAAAAACTGCTAACGATTCTCAATGGATCATTTAGTATACTTCCAGGCTTCTTGGCATGCTGTAACACACAGTTAGGTATAAGCAGCCCTAAGAAGTTTTTCAGAGGCCTGCCCCTCTGGTTATCTCAATAGCTGCTATGAGATATAGCCCACCCAGTTCACATGCCTGTATTTATCAGTGATTTAGAGAATTCTTTATTTCAGGAACTTGTGCAGACCACAAAAGCATTTATTGAAAATGAATAAACATATACTATAGAGTGATGTGTGCAAACTTTTTAGTAACCTGTAATAAGACAATACCAAGTACAAAGCCATCATGCTTTGTAGGATATCAGGATTGGCTGACGTACTCGTTGACATCAGGATTCCACTGTCAACCTCCATGTCCAATGTCTTGAGAAAGTGGCTAGTGTCCAGCCAGAGAGAGGCTGTTCTGTCCTGCTCTGACCTAACCTTCACATTGGTCTGCCCTATTTTTGTTAATTGTCTTCTGTGGGATCTCATGCCATTTCTTTTCCAGGCAGCTAGATGCAAGGATTATTTGTTGTTGCTGATGTTTGTTTTGTTGGGGGATCTTAGTCCTAATTCTTTTTCTTTGAATCTGTAAATACTTCAAGTGCAGTCCATAAAGAAGCTTGACTTGCCTCCAGAATGCACTGCCAGATGCTAGCTTCCAGCTTTACTAACCAACCCGAGAGATGGATTTTGTGGGTTTGTTTGGTCTCGCAGTTTGTGCCAACTGGGCACCGTGTCCTTAGTCCACCCTCTTCTTTGCACACAAGTACAAAAGGGAACATTTTATTCTGCTGCTTTGGGTGGGAACAGTCACTTTATTTATGGGGTCTGAGCTAAAATTTGATTTCTCTATTGCATGGTGCACTGGCTTTATCCATGTACATCCACATCCTTTATTATTTTCCCATTTCATGCGCAAGTTCTAGGCTTCTCATGGTGTTCCACCCTTTGTGGCTTCAGCCTTCCTTTCCAGCTTCACCTCCCAGTACTGCAGCCCACCTGCTCCAGCGATTCCCTGAAAAAGTCACGTCCCCTGTAGTATATCTGCTCCCGGTGCTCACCCCAACAGGATTAAGCCCACACTTGTAGGCCTAACCAGATCCTAAACTCAATCTTGTTGAGCCCAATGAAAATCAGGTGGTGTAACTCACAAAGGCAATTGACTTGAACTCCTCTAGGTTTTGCTTTTGTCTGGTTTTCAAAGGAAAGTGCATGAGGGAGCAGGGAAGTGTTTGCTGCAAGCAAATGTTTGAACGTTCAGGACAGTTAAAAGAAGAAAAGATATAAGCATTGGTGAAAGTGAGCACAATAGATGCAAATTTGGCACGCTGAAAGGAATTTTTGCCCCTTAATGATCTGTGTTTTCTTTATGCAGCATAACCCGAGGCAATTAAAGGCAGGAAACTACTCTAACCAACTGGCAATTATGTTTTAGTACATTTGGTACAATGCATACTCGCTCTCCATATTTTCAGAATTTTTGAAAAGTAAAGAAGCTTCAAAACTGTCAAAGTTGGCTCTTCTTTCACTCTTCACGAAGCCTTAGTAGGAAAAAGGAAAGAGCTGGGCTGTTTGCTCTGGGTCCTTTTATGTGCTGACATGGATGCATTTGAAGGATTTGAAATGTGCTTCAGTTTGAAACTTGGGTTCCTTTTACTGTTTATTCTTTTTTGTGTTTTCACCCATTGGTACCCTTGATTGATAGTGTTTAAGTCAGGGGACAAGCCGGGGGTTTAGAACATTGATGTCCTCAGCGAATGACCCTAAGCTTAAAAGGGAGCCCAAACTCATCAGGCCTCGTGTTTAAAAATAGTTTATTTTTGATGATGTTCATGTGAATGAGCCATAGTCCTACTCCTCAGGGCTGTGGAATGGAAAGCCTTGAGTAGCAAATGATCGTAGTTGCCTGGCCAAACCCTCTTTCTGGTCCAGGCACTGTCCTCCAGCAGTCACAGGTGCTGCCCTGGGCATTGTAGGATGTTCAGCAGCACTCCTGCACTTGACCCCTTAGATGCCAGCAGCATCCCACCAGGGTGACATCCAAAATATTCCTAGACTTTGCCAAATGCCCGGGACTGGAGAAAGGGCAAGGTGGAGGCAATGGGAGGCAAAATTGCCCCCAGTTGAGAATGATTGATCTCTAGGGATCCTGAAGATGTGCTGGGTGAAAGCCAATTCTCTTCCTAAGCTGATCCAGGCACAAAGGAGAGCAGAGGCATCTGCAAAATGAAAACTACATTCTTTTAATGATATCACTCTTTCCTCTTGACCCAATTTTGGCCAGTTTTTAGAAAATCACATCTTCCTCAAGCATCTAAACTGGCAGAAGAGAGAAGATGCCACAGTTTCTGCTTTGAAGGGTCCAGTGAGGTTTGGTATGGTCCTCACATAAAGTAAAGAGGCCAAGGATATTTGTGTTTTACGTTAGGTCTTGGCAAGGTAAAAATTATAAGAGAAGTTTTATAGTGTACCAGATTTCTATCGTGTTTTTAAAAAGAAAATAACTTATTGAATATAATTGCCAGACAAGGTGAAGATAGTAAAAGTATTCAGGTTGTCACCCCAAACTGCAAAGCTGACTAAACTAATTTCAACCTTTTCCTGCTAACAAACTTCACCCTTCTGTGTTTTCTCTCCCTCCATTTTTGCCTGCCTGTACAACTCAATCCTTTGTATTTACTCATGATGAAAGGCCTACATGCAATAAAGAAAATTAAGCAAACCTGATTTTCAAGGCTTGAGTAATTTAAAAACTATGATTTTGACATTTTAAGAATGTTATGTTGACCTTGTTCTTGATCAGTCATGAGAATTAAATGCAGGAGCTTTGCACCAAAGCAAGGCCCCTAGCTTAATAAAGATTTAATTTATACTGCTTCCTAACATTCTCTTTCTTTTTAGTCTACACAGCTCACATTGTACCTTTTCTCAAAGTAATCATGAGTTATAATTTAAACTGTTAAATACACACTGCCTTAATCTTGTATTTTGTTGTTACATTAATCAAGGCAGTGACAAGCAAAATTCTGTTCGAGGACTCTTAACCTGCCTTGCAAGAAAAGTAATGTTCACTTTTTAAATGAGCCATTAAATAAATCCATTGACTTTTTGAGTGAAAAGCCTCTCCCTGTCCCAAGAGCTCAAATTGCATTCAACAGTTGCTTTTGGAATCCCAAAGAGAGCAGCAAATAGTAGGAGTTATGTCTCTGGAAGGCTTCTTGAGTTCCAAAAGGCGATTTCCTTCCTCTCCAGAAGGAAATCAAAGAGGAAATAAACAGGAATCATCTGAAAGATAAGAAGTAAATGCATAACTCAGTGGAAAGCTAGCTAGCTAGACAGATAGAAGGAGGATACAGGCTTTCTAGAGAAATTGGGATTTTAAAGCATTTATGGAGTGGAGAAGAAATGACTGCAAACAAAGCCAAGTGCTAAATATAGAAACTATGGAAATAAATAGCCCATATTCCCAGGATAGCCTTAGCTTTGATGTTAAGCAGCAAAGCAGATCCAGAGGGTTCCTGTATAAAGCTATAAACAGAAAAGAATTAAGAATATGCTGATTGAGAGAAACAAATGTGGTTTACCTTGGGAATTACCTCTGTATTGTGCTATTTATGGAATAAAAGACAATAATGTCATAGCAAGCACTTTGTATAATTAAAGTTCTAGAGTTTATAGTGGAAAAAATATGCAGTCCATTGTCTTGAAATGTTTATTTCATATTTTGTTGTAAGGGAGCTTTACAAAGGTAAGTGCCTTATTCTGACAGTGCTAGCTAACTAATAAAGTAATCAAGAACATGAACTCTGATAAGCAGACCTGAAACCAAACCAGAAGGCAGAAAAGGGAAAGAACAGACTCCAATTGGAGCTAGGTGATATGTCTAAAATAAATTTCATGTGTGCCTTTCTTTTATATTTCCTTGGATCCATTTTAATGGAAATTTCCATTAGTGGGGCAACCTATGTAAGTAATTGATAGATATACTTAATTTATTTGCTGATAAGTTGAGAATATAGCCATATTAATGGAATTGGAATTGTCAAAAAATATTGTTGGAGTTGTCCATGAAAATACTCAGTATTTCTTTTAGGGCTACTTATAATGTTACTATAACAACCAATGAATGGACTTAGGCCTGAAAGATAAAATGAAACATAAAGATGATGAATTTTTTAAGTTAAATTTTTTATTGAATTCCATGAAGAAATAGCTCTGAAATCTCAGGATTGCTCTAGTTTCAAGTGGTTAGAAGACAAAAAGAGCCTGAGGCAGGAGAATGGCATGAACCCGGGAGGTGGAGCTTGCAGTGAGCCGAGATCGTGCCACTGCACTCCAGCCTGGGTGACAGAGCGAGACTCCATCTCAAAAAAAAGAAAAAAAAGAAAAAGAGCCTGGCTTCTTAAGAAACCAGGTAGTAAGATGGTAAATCATGTAACTGGAGAAAATGATTGGGAGTATTTTGGGGAAAGATATGGTTGTGAACACTGCAAGTTTCTGTTGGGGAAGAGGTGTTTGTAGTCATGACTACAAAGATGACCCTCTGGAAAAGTCTAGGAAGCAGGTCATAGGACAATTCCAGAAAGAAGGAGAATTATTCAATCAGTGACTCCACTGTCTTTCAGCAAATGCTTGCCTGATTACTACAGAACATGCAACTTTTGCTGATACAAACATGCACGAAGGAAGGTACTTCCTCTAGATAGAGGGACCTTGTGAGTAATTGACCTTGTGGCTATTCTCCCCTTATACTTCCCAAAGTCCCTTGCAGCTAGATGTGCCTCTGAGCTAAATTCTGGCAAAGAGGTGTCAACAAAAACCTGTGGGAATTTGGGGATCTTTTCTTAAAGGTGGGGACATGGGGTGCTTCTTCCTTCCCTCTTTGCTGCAGGCTGAAATGTAGCCAATATGAATTGTGTTGGAGCAGCCCTCTCTATCATGAGGGAGATGCTGCATACTGGGGATTGAGAGGTTGTCAGAGAGAAAAAGCTGAGACCCAAACAATTGTGTGATGCAGGCCTAATGGCCTGGTCTCCTACCTCCAGGCTTCTTTCACATGGAAGAAATAAGTCTGTATCCTTTCTAAGCTGCTGCTGTTTTGGCCTTTTTAGAAACTTACAGCTGAGCTTAAACTTAACTCATACACATTTACTGTGGTTATAAGTAGAACTAAAAATATACTTAACTCATATTTAGCAGTTGGTTTTATTTCCTCAGTTCATACTGAAACTAGAGCAATGTCTTTGCTTAAAAACAGAAATCAAAATCAATCAAACATAATTGATTGAATACAGATTGCAAAGAAGTATAAAATGGAATTTTGGCCCTCAAGTGGCTTTCTTCAACATGAAGAAACAAGACTTTTAAAAAGGTATATGCATATATTTGTATATATATATGTATGTATATACACACATACATATATATACACACACACATAAATATATACATATCTACATATACACACCCATGTACTACACACATATACATATAACAAAACAATATTAAAAACTCCATTGTGTAATAGTTCAATAGAATCAGTGGTGCACAGACAATAAAATCCTTGGGAATTCAGAGGAAACAACTGAAAGAGATGGGAGTTTGGGCAGAGAACCTGGTTGTGAAGATTAAAAGGAAAGATTAGACAGGTGACAAGAAGAGGAAATAGGACACAATGAATGTATTGTCAGTAAAATGAAAGAGTTTTAGGTTGATATCTCAGTATGACATATTTACAGTCACAATTCAATATAAAGGGTCTTTTGCTAGCGTTCATGTATTTTATCTGGTCTTAATGAAATGTATAAGTGACCATGATAGACCTCACTGTTCCACAGGTAGTGTTTTCAGGAAAATTGTGCAATTAGTGTCTGAATTTATTCTATGAAGAGTCCTTACAGTTTGTCTCCAACTTGCAGTTCTGTGGTCAAAGGAGCTGTCTGAATAATTGCAGTATAGTAATTGTGTCTACAGAGGACATAAGCAAAGCATTTTGCTTAAGCAAAAACATTTTGTTTTGTTTTGGTTTTTTGTTTGTTTGTTTATTTTTGCTGGCAGCATTGCTAGTCAAGACTGAAAAATTAGGGCATTTAAAATAGTGGAGTAAGAATGGTGGTTGTTGCAGGGGAGCTGAGTAAGATAGAGCAATGTGACAAGCAGGTCTTATAAGACTAGGTAGAAGATCAATACTCTGAGAAGGAGATATGGAGGGGTCAGAATGGTCTGTGGAAAAAGTACTGAATGTGGTCCAGTTGAAGAGGAAGAGAATCAATATATTAAAAAAGACCCAAATGAAAAAAAGAAATAAAGCTGTCTTTATTTGCAGATAGCATAATTTTCTATGGAGGGACACCAAAGAGTCTATTAAAAAAAACTTTCTAGAACAAATAAGTGAGTAAAGCAAGATGCAATATCAATGTACAAACGTCTATTGTTTTTCTATGTTCCAGAAATGAACAATTGGAACTTGAAATTTCTTTTCTTCAACTTTTATTTTATCTGGGGTTCATGCACTGGATGTGCAGGTTTGTTACACAGGTAAATGTGTGCTATGGTGGTTTGCTGCACAGATCAATCCATCACCTAGGTATTAAGCCAAGCATCCATTAGCTATTTTTTCTGATGCTCTCCCTCGCCTGACCCCCACCCTGGATAGGCCCCAGAGTGTGGTGTTTGCCCCACAGTGTGTCCATGTGTACTCATCATTCAGCTTCCACTCATAAGACAGAACATGTGGTGTTTGGTTTTCTGTTCCTGGGTTAGTTTACGGAGGATAAAAGCTCCATCTCCATCCATGTCCCTGTAAAGGACATGATCTTGTTCCTTTTTATGGCTGCATAGTATTCCATTGTGTATATGTGCCACATTTTCTTCATCTAGCCTATCATTGATGGGCATTTGGGTTGATTCCATTTCTTTGCCATTGTAAATAGTGCTGCAGTGAATATAGGTGTGCATGTATCTTTGTAACAGAATGATTTATATTCCTTTGGGTGTATACCCAGTAATGGGATTGCTGAGTCAAATGGTTTTTCTGCCTCTAGATCTTTGAGGAATCACCACAATGTCTTCCACAATGGTTGAAATAATTGACATTACCACCAACAGTATAAAAATGTGGAACTTGAAATTTTAAAAATTACTGTTAAAAATATCACCAAAAAATGAAATACTTAGGGGTAAATTTGACAAAATATATCAAGGAGCTGTATGTGGAATACCAGAAAACTCTGATAAAATAAGTTGAAGAAAGTCTAATGAGATTGGGTGATATTTCATGTTCATGGATGGAAAGATTTAACATTGTAAAGATATTAATTTTTTTCACATTGAACCACGGATTCAATGTAATCCCAGTCACAATCCCAGCAAACTTTTTTTATATGTTGGCATAATTGTTGCAAAATTTATATGGTAATGCAAAGAACTGAGATTAGCTAATACAAAACTAAAATGGAAGAATAAAGTTAGAGAACTCATATGATTTAAGACTTACTATAAAGCTACAATAATCAAGAAAGCATGGTGTTGGCAAATTAGATACATAGATCAATGGAAAATAATAGCAAGCCCCCATATAGACCCAGATAAGTATAGTAAACTGACTTTTTTATGAAAGTGCAAGAATAATTCAATAAAGAAAGGATAGTCTTTTCAAAAAATAGTGCTGGAGCAATTGGGTGTCCATATGCAAAAATATGAACTTAGAGTTCATACTTTACAAAAAAAATTAACTCAAAATGAGTCATAGACATATATGTAAAATGCAAACCAATTAAACTTCTAGTAGAAAAATAGAATAAATTTTGTACAATCTTGGATTTGTGGATGAGTTTTTAGATACAACACCAAAAGCATAATCCATGAAAGAAAATTTTGATAAACTATAATTTGCTTAAATTTAAAACTTTTGCTATGCAGAAGACAGTATTAAAAGAATGAAAGGAAAAGACATAGACTGGGAGAAAGTATATGGAAATCACATTGTGATAAAAGAATAGTATTCTGAATATATAGAGAACCCTTAAAACCCGACAAGAAGAAAATAAATAATGTAAATTAATATTTGGCAAAACATATGAACAGATATCTCACCAAAGAAAACATACAAACATAACAAATACCCATATGAAAAGATGCTCAACATCATTTGTCATAAAGGAAATGCAATTGAAAACCCCAATGAAATATACTACACACTATTAAAATAGCTAAAATTATAAAAATTGATGATACTAAGTGTTGGCAAGGATGCACAGCAACAGTATCTCTTATTCATTACTAATGGGGTTGCAAAATGGGTATAATGAAATATAATACAGTTTAGCAGTTTCTTATAAAACTAAACATACTCTTACCACATGATCTAGCAATTGTGCTCCTAGGTATTTACCTAACAGATTTGAATATTTATGTCCCACAAAAACCTGCATGCAAATATTTATAGAAGCCTTATTCTTAATAACCCAAAACTGGAAGCCACCACGATATCCTTCAATAGGTGGACAGACAAACTGTGATATATACAATGGAATATTATTGAGTGATAAAAAGGAATTAGCTTTCAAACCATGCAAAGACATGTATGAACCTTAAATGCATAATGCTAAGTGATATAAGTCAGTCTGAAAAGGCTGCATCTTGTATAATTCCATTTATATAATATTCTAAAAAAGGCAATGCCATAGAGAGGGTTTTCAGATTAGTGGTTACTAGGGGCTGTAGAGGAGATTGAAAAGGTGAAGCACAGTGAATCTTTTTAGGATAGGGAAATTTCTTTTGTATGGTGCTGTAATGGTAGTTACTATGCACGTATGAGGTACTATGCATTTATTAATATACTGTGTACTTTGAAATGTACAAATGTACTATGCATTTATAAAAATCTATAGAATTTTGCAGCACAAAAATAAACTTTAATATATTCAAATATTAGAAAATTATTTAAAACATCAAGAGAATCCCAGGATGGAAAGCAGATTGTGACAAATAATATCTATATTATAAATATAGACAACAACCTTACTGAAGGCAATAAGGGAGGAAGTTGCTAACTGAAGTAACTGGAAATGAATGGAATCTGTGAAACTGAAAGCAAAAAGAATGGTTGTTAACAACTGTTAACAGTTCTGAGACCAGTATTCTTATATACTGGAATTGAATAATTAGTTGGATGGCTGACGGTGGAAGCAAGGTTTCTCACTGTTGGAGCAGGTAGTTATAGAGCAAAGGAAAGGTGCTAGAATGATCCATGTAGACATAGGCTAGAATTGTGACATCAGTGTGAACTCATTTTTAGCTTAATATACATGCAGATGGATGAATATAGAAAGTTCTGTGTGTATATACATGGGTTTGTATACATACCTGTATTTCCAAACTGGGTTCTTGAAGAGGACCTACAAACAATAACACTTTGGTATCAATGAGCATAACCAGCCCCCTGAACTTGGTTTCTAGTGCCGTTCTTCAATAAAAGGAACTAGGGCTCTTGGAGAAATGGCTGATTCTAGAGCTGGGGAAGGGAATTTACAAGATTAGGCTGGAGCATCTAACAATGCCAGGAAGCAAGAAAGTTTCTCAAAGGAACATATGGAACCAACTAAAAGACTTCTCAATGGTCAAAGCTGGAACAATTTAAGCAACAAAATAAAGATGTGATATTAGATTGCAACTCAAAGTATAAAATAAGTATCCATAGGCCACATTATTATAAATCAGTCATTGAATGAATAAATAATTGGGAAGAATACACAATTCTCCCATATAGGATACCAAATAATTTATGTAGGAGCATAACTGCCTTCTCTTAAGTGTGGGATTCACATAGCAACTTCCTGCAAAAAAAGCACAATATGGAAAGAGGGGATAAAGAGTAATTGTGATGCAGAAACTGACAAACACTGCCTCAGTCAGCTGACCAAGGATAATCTCATCAGTATTAAGTCATGTTGATAGTAGGTACCTTTGACATGATGTGATGAAAATGGCATTTTACCTCTGTGGTCTCTCTCCCGAAACCCACAACTTCAGCCTAATCATGAGAAAAACATCCTGTACCCATATTAAGGGATATTCTAGAAAATACCTGACTAGTACTCCTCAAAACTGTTAAGGTCATCAAAAGCAAGGAATGCCAAAGAGACACCCTAAGATGACAGGTGGACTAAATGCAGTATGGTGTCGTGAATGGGCTCTTGGCACAGGAAAAGGACAGTAGGTCAAAACTAAGGAATATCAATGAAGTATGGGCCTTAGTTAATATTAAAGTATCAATATTGGTATATTAGTTGTATCAAATGTATCATACTAATGTAAGATATTAACCATAGGGAGAACTGCCTGTGACATACATGGAAATTCTCTGTACAAATTTTCTGTAAATCTAAAATTATTCTAGAATAGAAGGCTATTTAAAAAAAAAAAAAAGACCAAAGCTAAACATATAATCGTGGTGGCCTGGGGCTGGAAGTGAAGGTTAGAGAATGGAGAGTTATTGCTTAACATGTACAGAATTTCTATTTGAGAAGATGTAAAAGGTTCCTGAGATTTATGGTGGTGATGGTTACACAACAATGTGAATGTACCTAATGCCACTGAGTTGTATACTTAAAAATGATTAAAATTGTAATTTGTATCGTGTATTTTATCAAAGTAAAACAAGTATTTCAAGAAAAAAACTCAAAGACACAGAAAACTAGAGAAGAGAAACATCAGAAGGACTAAAAACAAAATCTAAAAGTGGACCAACAACAAAGCAATGGGATAGGAAGGAAAACTGCGTAAGATTCACAGGGCAAAACACTTCCATTACTAGAACACCAGGAAAGAAAACACCTGTTTAGAAATCACAGCAAATAAATTAGTACTCACGGTTTTCTCTTTACTTCGTAATTTTTAAATTGTACACACCCTCTTCCAAAAACCTTACAACACAAGGCAAGAAATACAAAACAAACTTTTTGTTTATTAGTAAATTAAATACTGTATTGAATGTGGAAAAACAGAACAAAAAGTGGAGGCTCTGATACACTTTGGCCCCGAATACTGGCCCTCTGAGCGGAGGAGAGTTGGGGAAATCAGATGTTATATTAATGGACTGGCATTTAGAAGCCAGGCATTGAACTCTGTTTATTTTATATATTATTTTAACCCTCACAACAGCATTATATGCTAGTACTATTATTTCTCACTACAGAGCTAACATTTGAGATCATGGTTTTCTGTCAATGACTTGAATTTAGTAACAGTGAAAATTCCATACACATAGGAATATAGCAGAATTTTTTCAGTAAGGCTGTAACGTTTAAGTGAACTTAGCTGATCCTACATATATTAGAGAACGCTTGCTATAAATTCATGGGATTCTGTCTACCAAGTCAGAGAAGTGGTTTAAATGTGTTGATGTATCTGGCGTATTAGAGTCTACAGTCATGAAATGGAACCCTAGTTGTACAACTCATTAGCTATGTGCTGTCAAATTACTTAACATGTAGAGATCTCAGTTTTACCATCTATTAAATGGGGATAAAACAGGTTCTTTGCTTATAACATTCTTTTTCCTTTTCTAATATCCCATGTGCTTGTGACTTTCTATGATCAGAGATAGTGGTATTTGTCTTAAAAAAAAAAAGAAAGAAAGAAAAGGTCATTTAAGCCCCATATTATTTGGAGATCATAGGTACAATAAAAAATAAATGCCAGAGTTTCAATAGCTTAACACATTAAAAAGTATTCCTCATTTACTTAGAAGCCTAGTGTGGGTGTTTTTGATATAAGGTGATTTTCTTCTACCTGGTGATTTAGGGACTTAGACTCTGTCCAATCTAACAGCTCCAGTATCTCCTAGGGTCTCTCTGTCCTCTTTAAAAAGGACACAGGAGAAAGAAAAAGACCTGAAATGACCCTCGTCTCTTCCATTAACCTTCCATTTGTGAGAACTATTCATATGACCCTCCTTAAATGCAAGCAAAGGGTGATGTGAAATGTGGCTGTATTCAGGCAGCAATTTCCCTGTAATTCTTTGAACTGTGTAAGGCAAAGTGCAAAGTTTGGTGGCGAATGAGCAACCTTTGCCTTAAGCTCTGTGCGAGCCCAGTATTGCTGAACTGTGCTAACCCACTCACCTGTATGGAGAGAAGAGTAGCACCATTATAGTAAGGACTCCTGCAGTAATCACCAAGTATAATGGGGGCACTTAACCCTCAGCTTTTTTGCACCTTAAATGGTTTAATAATAATTGCAACAAAAAGTATTTATAAAGCATTCGGGAATGCTTATAAGGGATTAAAGTAATATTAAAGAAATCACTAGAGTCTCAGCATTAAATGATTTTTAATGCAACAAAATCTCATCATACTGTATTTTTTCTTCTTAGCTTTAAAAATAGACCTGCAGAATAGATATGGTATAAAGTGAGACTCCATAGTGTCCAGAATTCTTTTCTTTGTATTTGTACTGAAATTCTCTCTCTCTTTTCCAGTGTATCAACTTTTAGTTATATATTTTGTTCAAAAATAACATCTGATCATCATAAACATCAATTATTTAAATAGGATAACATGCTTCTTCTGAGTGCTTTAAAGTAAACTTGAGTGTTTATAAGTAAGGGAATTATTAAGAAGAAACCCTGGTATATCCACAAGATAAATGTTACCAGTCTCTAAGAGTGCGTCTCAGTGGTTCTCAAACTTAAAAGTATATCAGAATCACCTGTAGGATTTGTTATAATGCAGATTGCTAGGTCCCAACCTCTGGAGTTTTCAGTTCAGAAAGTCTGGGATGTGGGCCAGGAATTTGTGTTTCTAGCGAGTAACCAGATGATGTGATGCTGCTGGTCCAGGGACCATACTTTGAAAACCACTGATTTTTCTATAAAATGATGCTGAAGAAGGTAAGGAGGAAGGTATCAAATCTACGCGGTTTCTCTGAGGTTGGACTACTTGATGTGTCCCAGCTTTTATGTTTAAAAAAAAATAATGCCGAAAGACATACAGTGCTTAAGACTCAGGTTAATTTAATTCCATAATCATACGGCATAATAGCACCAATTTTGGTACATAGAGTCTTCTGTACTTAATTTTGACTGACCCACATAGAGCAAATGTGATTTATCTGACTTGAAATTGAAAACCCAAATAAGCTAGGTTGTGAAACACAGTAGGTTTTTACGATGGGGCCTATAAGGAGACCTATGAATTATTAGAGGGATAGCAGTGGTTAGGCTAAAGGTATACAGAGAATACGTTGCAAAGATATTAAGGAAAATAAGAAAATTATGGAAGACTTTAAGGAAAAGCACTAAATATGAGTTCAGGGCCTGAGCTAAGTGGATTTTCAAAAAAATTTCCTGGGTATTTACTTTCTTAATACAGAGGAAGTAATTTGGAGGAAGATTTATTTTTAGGTTTTACTTTCATCTGAGCAAGAAGAAATATATTGTGCAATAATGAAAAAGCGATCTATCTTCTTGGGTGCTCAAAACCTATGTTAAGGATTTATGAATTATTTATTAAGAAAAATTATACACCCAGGGATGGTGACCCTGGTCAATATTTAAGCTTCAAAAAAGATAATGAAATTCAGTTTTTCTAAACTGTAGAGGATAAAGTGTTTTATCATAACATTACAAATTGTGGAATGAATGAATAAAAGTCACAGTGGGTTCTTTTTTGAAAGTCTGGGGCTACCCGGAATCAGCATATAGGACCCAACTTCAAAAGGTGAACAATGATATTAACCAATAATGTGTTTCTTTGAGGAAATGATCTGAAGCAAAAAGATACCTCACAGACCAGGGAGGTAATATTCAAGCAACTAAAGAAGCTAAGGACTATTTCATATGACTATCTTGCCCTTGGTGAGAAATCCTAATACAGTGATTTTTTTTCTCCACTATATTTACAAAGGAAGCATAAAAATAAGAATGTTGGCTGGGTGTGGTGGCTTACACCTGTAATCCCAGCACTCTGGGGGGGCCGAGCGAGGAGGATCCCTTGAGCCCAGGAGTTCAAGATCAGCCTGAGCAACATAGTGAGACCTTGTCTTTACAAAATAAAAAAGGAAAAAAAGAAAGAAAAAAGAAAAAAATGAGAATGTCTGGATTTGAAGGAAGAAAAGGATTCAAAGAAATTCTGCCCTGCGTTCTGCTGATGGCAGTTTTATTTGAGAACTCTTGCACTGTCAAATGTTTCTTAGTTCATCGCCCAATTTAATATTTCAGAAAAGTCATCCAAGGACTGTTTTCTTTTGTGGTTTTCTTTCTGGCAGCATTCTATGGCTTCTCTGTTCTTGGAGTGTTCTTCTGCCTTGACAAGGTAAAGTTCATGCCTAAGCATGTGCAGAAACTCAAGGTCAAGTGCACCACTGAGCACCTTCAGAGTGAATTTTTAGGGGATAATGTTGTCACAACTGTCTTCATCATCAAACAGCAAGCCTTCATGATAGGCCTGCCAGGGAGGTGGCCCTGCCAGCCTGCTGCCTCTTGTCCCTTTCCCAGTTTACACTGTTATTTCTCCATCTTGCCCTGACTTTTGCCCAATAACAGCAAGCCTTTGGGTTGAACCTAGCATACCTGCTTTCCTTGTACTCCAGGGCCATAAGCTTGCAGAGCTACCGTGGTGGCATGGCCCATGGTTTGTCCTGCCCCAACTTTTTTGTTTTTGAGACAGAGTCTCACTCTGTCGCCCAGGCTGGAGTGCAATGGCATGATCTCGGCTCATTGCAACCTCCGCCTCCCGGGTTCGAGCGATTCTTCCACGTCAGCCTCCCGAGTAGCTGGGATTCCAGGCACCCTCCAACATGCCCGGCTAATTATTTTTGTATTTTTGTACAGATGGGGTTTCACCATGTTGGCCAGGCTAGTCTTGAACTCCTGACCTCAGGTGATCCACCCACCTTGGCCTCCCCAAGTGCTGGGATTACAGGCGTGAGCCACCGAGCCCGGCGTGTCCTACCCTGCCCCATCTTGCTTCCTTCCTCCTCTCCCTTTATTCCTTCCTTCCGTTCTCTTTAGAAATATTTTTGATATGTAACAGAAAAATATAGAACATAATAGGAAAAAGTCCCTCTTAAATGTTTTCGCTTTTATTTTTTGCATTATCCCAATAACCTGTTTCATTTATGTACTTTGTCTTCAGGGTGCAATTGTATGCAATATGTTTGGATTCTCTGCCACTTGCACTAACATTCTCTTGCCTTAATGCTGTCTCTTCTTATCTACTCATTTTCTGTTTCTCATCCTTTAACTTTTTTAAAGATTCTGTGCTTCTCACCAACATATTGCAATAAACTGCACTGTGCTTCCACCTTTCAGGCTTTTTAATGAAGGGAGTAAATTTAAGAATTAACTTGTTTCTCATGAAGGTCAAGTCAAGGATGTGTTGGAAGAAGACAGATGTCTTCTATTAGTTGTTCTTCTGTATTTTGTTTCAACCTACTGTTCTGAAGCAGCAATAGTAGTAAACATAAGGCCTTGTAAAAGAGTTTTTACACAATTTTTTTTTTAAATCTGTCCCCATCCCACTTTTGGTCTGACAGTGATTGCTTTTTACTTACTCCCTCTCTGTTCATAAAGAGGTAGTAATACTAAATTAATAGTGTTTGTGAAAATTCCTAGAAAAAATGTTATTCACATAGGATCTTTTTAAAAATTATCCTTATTCATTTTTAAGTGAGGTTTTAATGAAATGATAAAATGAATTATGTTTATCAACTTTGGAGTAGAGCTTTATATATTCTGTTATGGATAGTTTTTTTATTATTTTAATGAAAGGAAAGTCAGAGTAGGGGGTAGAAAATAGAATAAACCTTTACCAAGAAGAAAGTAAAATAAAGAGAATATGAACATATTTCTTTTTAGCTATGGGTATGACAAAAATGAACTCTGATTTGGAGATTAGGTAAACTGATGTTTTTCATAGCTTTTATTTATTTATTTTTAGTAAGGAATATTTCTTTTTTAAAATCAGGCACTGTCTCTCACGTGATGATGAGAAAAAGCTTTTGGGAAAACCATTTGCACGTTAGATTACAGGGTATTTATGCATATGTTTTCCCAGTAGTACTCACTATATTTTAAAACCTGATTAAGATGACATAAGATAAAATGTGGCGTATTGTGACTGAGAACCCCTAGTCTCGAATGCTCATATTTAGTGGGTATAATGATGAAAACTATTTTCGAGGACATTTTTGAAAGATTCCAAAAACATACAGAAATATATCTAAAGCCAAAAAAGTAAGTAATATAAAAATATGAGTTTAAAAATAGTAATATGTGATTCAGAATAATTTCAAGTTTAACGTTATTTTCTAAGTTGATTATTTGCAAATGATAGCTATTTGGATCCTGTTCTCTGAACAAACCCAGATGCAAGGGGTTGTATACAAGTGATTTATTAAGGAAGCTACTTCCAGGAGACATCAGTAAGAGAGTGGAGGAAGCAAGACATGGATGGAGAAGAGTTAAGTAAGGGTGAGCTTTCAGGTGAAGTCCCAACCTCAACCTAAGCTACTGAAAGCTGCAGAGCACAAATTACACCTCGAGTTGCTTCTCCTGCATCTGTCAGACATGAACTATCAGCTCTCTGGGGAGATCTAGCATCTCAGGCACTTCCTGCTCTCTACACATCTGAGTGAAGTAGCTCCAAGAAGCCAAAGGTAGTCAAAGGCTGCAAGTGTCACTTGTTTGGAATAAAGCTGATAGACGCTGGGGGATGGGTGTCTAGCCAGTAAGGGAGCCTAGCAGGGAACCAGGCTAGTATCAATAGAGGTTCCTGCAGGAGCTTTAGGCAAACTTCCTGAGTAATTGGAAAATGGCTCTACATTGATTTTTTTTCAATCATTCATAGTTCTTAATATGAACAGCTAGCTTCGTTTTGTGTACATACATTAGTGTTGAGATTGATCAACAGTCGAATGAAAAGGAGAGTTCCTTTCTGGTAAAATTTACGCACTTAGGCAAAACCTTTGGGCTGATTTATTGATTGACTCAGTGAATGTTCTTCTCAGGAAAATTCATTAAGCATGATGTTCCCTTTTAGACATATCCAGCTCCTACCCCCACAAATTAGCATCGGAAAAGATTTGGTTGAATTCCGTCTGTCTTGCCAGAAAGCCAAAAGCAATGTTAAGAAGCAAATCTTCTTTGAAAGGGAGGGGAAAAAAGACCACACTTGTCAACTTAAAATATCTCATTTTGGAAAATAGATTAACTCATTACATATTCACAATGTCTTATGAGAGGAAAAGGTCATCAAAATGCAAACCTTTGGCAGAAAAAAAATTGTGATACATTTTGGAATAAATAACTGGAGAAAATGAGACTATCCAGATGGATATAACCAATCAGCTACTAAGGTAAAGCAAGGATAAATGCCGTCTATCTATACTTCAGAAAATATGGAAGTCACCAGATATGCCATACTGTGTGATGAGAGAGAAAAGAAAATACGTTGGTTGAGAAAATACGTTGGTTACTCACTCAAATGTATCATGCACAGGGCTGAATCAAAACATGTGGAAATCAGCCGAGCATTTTTAGAACCTCTCCTTGACACAGTCTGGCCTCTAGGGCCCAATGTGGAAATTGCTGCTTTAATCTACAGTGATATTAGAGCTACTGATAAGCACAGTAGTCTGAAGAAGACTTCTCAGTTTTATTAGTAGTTTTCTCATTGCTCTTAGAATTCTGATGCAGCTACTTTATAACTGGATGTAGGAAGCCTGTCCAAGTGTCAGAATGCCCTACCCGTTCTAGACCTAATTAGCCTTCTCTGTGGGCAGCCATTGTCTTCATTTAATATCTAGGGCAGAGATTCTCAAACTTCAGATTGCATCTGAATCACTGGGAGGTGAATCACCCAGCACAGATTGTCGGGCCACCCCAGAGTTTCTAATTTAGTAGGCCTAGAGTTGAACCAGAGAATTTGCATTTTTCACTTGTTCCCAAATGATGATGATGCCATAGGTCAAAGGACCACACTTGGAGAACCACTGGTGTGGAGAAATGAAGGCATTTAAGTCCTATAAGCAGATAAGTGATGGATTCAAATATTATATTAAGGTAAGATTGAGGGAGTAGTTTGCACTGCCAGTTAAAAAAACTTGGCTGGCTGTTCAGCCACAGTGAAATAGGTGTAAACCAGAGATAACATTTTAGATGATTCAAAGGGGAAATCTGGCTACATTTATATCATCTGGAGTTTTCAAGTGGAAACAGCTTGTTTGCCTGATGAATCTATATCATTCCATATTTCTTATCAAAAGACCTTTTATGAAAATCAGATTCTATGCTCACCCAAAATATTCAGGAAGATAGTTTTTAGCACTTATGAAACTATTTGCAAAATGATGGATGCTGTTTCTAGTTAATCTGATTAGTCTGAAATGAGGAATTTAGCTTATCACAGGCAGTAATAGAAAATTGTAACAATGCCATCTTTATCATCATAGTTGTGATTTTTTTTAACTCTGAGTTCTGAATACATGCAACATCATTCATTCTTCATCCATAAAGATGTGGAGAATTCCTCTGTGAGAAGCCTGTAATATATAAGAACTGGAAAAATAAAACACGTGCTATAAAGAGCCAATATATTTCTGAAATTATTCATCTTTAAATATATATAGATTATCCATGGTGATTATGGAACTTTTTCTCAGGTTTTTAATGTCAACCTAATAAGTTGACATCTCGTTAAAATGAAGGCAGTTACTAGCATGTTAAATCTGACCTGTTTTTCATTCATCATTTGAAAGAAATTACAAAAATATATCTCTTAATATAATGTTTCCTAGAATCCAGAAGCAAGTGTGGCAGTTTCTTCCCTCAGAGTCATAGATGCATGCAACTATACCATAAATACTGTTACAATTAAGTTTTATTCATTTTACCTCTTAATAAAGCCGTGGTGCTATACATATAATTTTATGTTTAGCTGCATTTAACTTTCAACTTTGGAAGTGTTTTACTCTTAGATGAGCGTGTAGGAGTTTCTAAGGTTGCTGAAGAAGGAAGTAAGAATGAGAATATTTGGCTATTGCACAACCAGCCACCAAACTATCTCACCTGGCAATCTGCAAGGAATAAATTAACTGCATATCTGCTGATATAGTTCACATTGCCTTGTGCAGACACAGCCTCTGAAAACTAGTGTTATATTTATTTATCATGATTATTTTTTCATATACGTGAAAAAAGACTTAAGTGGTTTTCTTTCATTTATGTTACACAATACTCCTGCTACCTTATCAATATCCAAAATTTTTAGAAAAAAGTAAGTTTGGGGATATGTGGATTACTTTTTCTATTATGTACATAGGGTCAATGATCCTGGGCAATTAACATATTTTCTCTGGGACTTAGTTTCCTCATCTGTGTTCTCTTTCTGTTCCCAGTTACTATGATTCTATTATAGTAATTGTTTCTGTTTGGGCACATTCAATAATGGTGACAGCATTGCAGTCATTTTTATGCAGGGTGGGTGGAGTGCCAAGATACGTAAATTCATTTTCATTCCTTTTTAATTAGTTGCATTAGAACTTGGAAACAATGGGGTTAGTGTATTAGTTATCTATTGCTTCATAACAGACTACCACAACTTAATGGCTTAAAACAACAAACATTTATTATCTCACAGTTTCAGTGGGTCAGGGTCTCACCTGCTTAGGGTATCCTAAGGCTGAAATCAAGATGTCTCCTGGGCTGTGTTCTCATCTGGAGCTCAAATTCCTCTTCCAAGCTCATTTAGGTTGTTGCCAGAATTCAGTTCCTTGTGGTGGTAGAACTGATGCTCTTATCTCCTGGAGGTCTTCTTCTCCATAGTCAGTACACAGCACAGCCAGCAGATTAGTGTCTCTGCTGCTTCAAGTCTCTTGCTTCTAAACCCTCTTTTGAATGGCCTACCCAAGATATCTCTCTTTTGGCTAACTTTATGTTGTCTGATTGGGAACCTTAATTACACCTCAAAATTCACTCACTCTTGCTGTATTACATAACATAATGGTGGGAGTGATAGCCCAGCACCTTTGCCATATTGTATTGGTTAGAAGACAGCTGCAGGTCCCTCTCACACTCAGAGGGAGGGGATTACACAAAGGCATGGAAACCAGGAGACCCACATGAGTGTGGCCATCTTAGAGTTCTGCCCACCAAAGGTAGGCAAAAATGCAGAGATTTGTGAGGAAATTGTGCAGTTGACCAACAGTAGTCAATAGTAGTCATAACTATCTCTGTTAGTTTTCTCATCTGCAAAACAGAGAAATATGATAATTAGGTGACAGTATTATTGCAAAGACTAATGAGATAATACATGCAAATTTTGTTTTACAATTCTTGGTATGCTGGTTCTCCATTATAAATACATACGATTATTATTGCTGTTATTATTAAGGATATTATTTGACTTTGCCACCTTTAGTGTGGGAACCTTTAATCTCATCAATAATAATTTCTCAGTTTTTATTTTATTTGTACCGAGCAGACTCTTTAGATTAAAAAGTGCATTAAGAGAGATTGTCTGGGTTTTTTTGGTTCGGTATCTTCCTGTATACTGACCTTGGCTCCCGGAAGAATGCATGAACTCCAGACCTTGGTGGATTCCTTATCTCCCTAGGACAGGCAATGGGACAATGAAGGAAGCAAGGAAATAAATTAAAAATGAAAAGTTATCTTCCACATTATCTGCCGCATTCATATACTTGCCAATAACATTGGGCCAAATACTTTGGAAGTAGGTCCAGGGATAACATTCAGACTGGAGAATGGAACCGATAATATCCGCAGGCATTGGATCACCCACTTTTTCCCCAATTTATGCTATGATATTTATGAGAGCATGAGAGCATGGAAGGTAATTCCAACTGCTGTATTAATGAACTTTCAGTGTCCCTAGGTTGCTTGCAAAAATAAGGCATCTTGTTGGTTTTCTGGGTAAAGATGAGTCTGACTTGTATTTTATGTACTGTGTTCCTGTTAGGTCCAAAGTCTGAAATACCTAACATCTTCAGCAGGGTGTCATTCATTCATAAACCAGGATGAAATACAGCCTCTGTGCTGAACTTTATGTCAAACACTATACAAATCAGGATAAAAGTCCAAGGTCTTTTTGTCGAGGGATTCACACCAAGTGGTGAAACCCCATGTCAATTGACAGTTACAATACAACCTGTAACACATGAACGTTTTCATTGCTTGTCCCATTTCAAAGGTTGATCCTATTTTTCATTTACCTATAACACATAAAAGTGAAAATTAGTTTCTCTAGAAGTTTTCTCTATTACTTAGGTTTTAAGTTTTTATGAAGTAGCTATAGAGTTCCAGGTTTTCAGATCTTTTTCTTTTTCTTTGTTTATTTACATTCCTTGTGTTTCTTCTAGATGCTTTACCTAACAACTTTTAACTTTTCTGCTAGGATCTTTCCCCTTTCACTTAGAATGGGAAATCTTGCAAGCATAAGAATTTCTATATATTCAGTACTCGCTGCTTGCTAAGTGGAGATCTTAATTTAATATTTCAGTTGGTTTAGCAGCAGCCGAACGAGGGAGATGTTGCTGGCATCTGCACCTGTGTTTGACAGATGAGGATACAAGGCATGCATGAGCATCTGTAGCAACTTGTTTAATGCTACATTGATAACAAGTGATAATTTGAGGGAAGAACTTACATTTTCTGCCTCCTACTTCTATGAAATTTGCACTATATTAAATCTAAGTGTGTTTAAATAAAGAAAGCCAGATGTGTCATCTTTCTCTTTTCTCTGCCTTGGTTCTTATTGATGACCTATACCTCTCATTTCCATTGGTGTTTCTTACTGTGGGTCTCCACTGAAAGTTGTGGAAATAAAGATGAAAATCATGCCTAGGAAACAAAGGAAAAGAGAGACCAGGTGGCAGACGGTGCAGAGATTTCTTTGAGAGGTACATTGCACAGATTTTTCACCCCCTCAGAAGTGGAATAAAGTTAAGGAACAAAGAATTGAGTCTAAGTCCATCTGCTTCTTGTTAAATGAAAACTATTTGTTAAAATACTCTAAAATCATTTTTTTAAAAAAATTGTGCATTTTAAGGAGGTTTGGCAGTCAGTAAAATATATTAATGTATTCTACTTTTGGTAAATCAAAATAGACCAACTTAATGACTATACCACACATGTATGTGGAGATATACATAATCACAATGCACACACCCAGCCATTAATATCTTCTCTGTGAAATGTTTATGACTGTAATTGCTGTTCTGATTATATACTGTGTGAACCTGAAACACATTATTATATTGGGTGACTAATGGAATTCAATAACAATGCACAGAAATTGGGATTCTGGAAAGAGTTGAGTTTTAAACTGTATTTCCTCCTCAGTTTGAAGTGGATTTCATGTCTCATCTACCACACAGTATGCTTATGGCTGATGGATTGAAATCTCTCTGCTAAATAGTAAACAACCAAGACAATTCAGTCTTCTCTTAGCTTGCCTGCTTTCTCGTCACTCATTCAAAATATTTTTGTTAAATACCCAAAACCCATTAATTAGTAATAATGGGTTTTGAGTATTTTGTTAAATACCCAATACCTCAGTTTGTTTAAGAGTTTAAGAGTTTCTGTTTTCCAGCTTTGTGGAATTCATTATTTCTTTACGACTTTCTTTGAAAGAGAGATCACAGGGTATATATGTGGAAAACTTGGGTTTGAGTGAAGACCCTAAAATTAATTATTCATGTATTCAGTCAATAACTTTACCACACTAACAATGCACAGAAATTGGGATTCTGGAAAGAGCTGAGTTTTAAATTGTATTTCTTCCTGAGTTTGATAATTAACATCTTCAGCAGGGTGTCGTTCATTCACAAACCAGGATGAAATACAGCCTGTGTGCTGAACTTTATGTTAAACACTGTACAAACAGAGATAAAAGTCCAAGGTCTTTTGTCGAGGGATTCACACCAAGTGGTGAAACCCCATGTCAATAGACAGTTACAATATTATTGTAATATTACTGTTAATTCACTTTTATCCATGCTGTTAATTCATTTTTATCCATACTGACAAAAAGAGAGGGCATATCCATCAATGCATCAGTGGATGCATCTGAGGTCCTAAGAGTGTGATCTCCAAGCTTTGCAGGGTGTCATTAATGGCCTTGGAAATAAAGGGTTCTTTTAGTACATGCCTCGTTTAATGATTCCGGTAGGTTCTTTTAGTACATGCCTCCTTTAATGATTCCGGTAGGTTATGTGACTTTAGGCACTTCAATTCCTTTCTCATTGTTGGATGGACTTCAAGGTTAGAGAGAACAAATTTTAATTTCTTTATTCCACTTTTCTAAAGATGTATCTAATGTTATGAAGTATAATGCAAAGGTTCTATGGGAGAACATCTGTGACAAACAAAACGATTTCAATTGTTGCTTGAGTTTCTGAACACCTAGGACATTTGCTTGGATAGAATATGATTTAATCCTAAAGAGAAATTATTAAAATAGCAGTCGATGGCATTTGTCATTCAATAGTTTTTTCTTCAGCTAACTCTCACCACTAGGCACACTTTTACATTCAGTAAGTGTAATATTTTTATTTGAAAGTTCCCAATATAAAGAAATGATAGTTATAGATTCTTCATATTAACAAAAGTAATGTATTGCTTTATCAATGATATTCACATGAAAGGCCTTATAACAACATGAGTGAGTATATAATTAGTGCTTCTCAAAGTGTGGTCATTGGACCAGCAACGTCAGCATCACCTGGAGGTTTATTTGAGATGCAGATTCTCAGGCCTGCCTCAGACTCACGGAATCAGAAAGTCTGACAGGTGACACGGAGCAAATCTGTATTTTACTAAGCTTTTCAGGTGACTGTAATGCAGGCTACAGTTGGAGAGCCACTGATACGGAAGGTATGATCATACCCATTTAATAGATGAAAAAATTGATGCTCAGTGTGGTAAAGTTATTGACTAAATACATGAATAATTAATTTTAAGGTCCTCACTCAAACCCAAGTTTTCTGCAATATACACTCTGTAGTCTCTCTCTCAAAGAAAGGAGTAAAGAAATAATGAATTCCACAAAGCTGGAAAACAGAAACTCTTAAACTGAGGAAGGGCAGAAAGGGACCATTTCACTGCTTTATTGTAATGAGTTGTTAAAACTATTGTCACGAGAAAATTAACCTAGAAAAAGTTTTAATGATACAAGAAACACTTTTGTGGTCATGCATTGGGTTCCTCATTTTCTTTTTAGTGGCAGAGAGAAAGGGATGCAGTTAAACTCCAGAGGGGTGGCTGTGGTATGTTAATAGAAGTGGGAGACACTATTTGAATCATCGCTTTGTAGCCAAATGAGTTCATGGACGGCATTTCCACCCAGGTCTTCCCCACGCCACATTACCCTTGATGACAGTGCCCTGCGGTGGTTTTCATGCACACAGTTGGCGTTAACTACCCTTCCGTGGCTTGGGGAATGAATCCTGGAAGTGGAATACAGAGTTCATTATCTGTAATGCAAAAGTCTATATAATGATGCCTGCTAAGATCTAGTTCTTTGTTAATTCAATTTGGGCTTTGCGTATATAATCAAACAAGTTATGTTTAAGTCTATTGTTTCTTCAATTGGGAGGAATTTCCTTAAATAGAAAATATTACGGGCCGGGCACGGTGGCTCATGCCTGCAATCCCAGCACTTTGGGAGCCCGAGGCGAGTGGATCACTTGAGGTCTGGAGTTTGAGACCAGCCTGGCCAACATAGCAAAATGCCGTATGTACTAAAAATACAAAAATTAGCAGAGCATTGTGGTGTGTGCCTGTAATTTCAGCTACTCGAGGGCTGAGGCACGAGAATCACTTGAACCCGGGAGGTAGAAGTTGCAGTGAGTTGAGATTGCACCACTGCACTTTAGCCTGGGTGATGGAGTGAGACTCTGTCTCTCAAAAAAAAAAAAAAAAAAAAAAGAAAAAGAAAAAATAAAAGAAAATATTACTATTGATTAGGTAAAAATACTGTGTGTGAGAGATATATTTTTATCCTATATAGATGTAAAACATCATGCAACATATATGGAAAATTACATCAAATGTAAATGTTAGTGTTTTATAAATAATTATAAAGAGAACACCCATGTAATGACCACTAAATCCCAAAGTGATTGTTGCTAATGCTCCATATACCTCTGTGACATATCCTAAGTGGGTTGTAGTTTTCTGCACACAATTCCTGCTTCTGTGAGTTTCTACCCGCAATTTCCTCTCTCTGAAACCACCACCCACCCTCCCACCCCGATCACACAGTTATAAGGCTGGCAAACTCTGTCTCATCCTTGTGTACTGGCTGAAATCATGCCATAGCTCTCTGTAGCCAATGTCTGTAGGGCACTTTGAAATATTTCCTTTAGCATATAATATTTGACTTGCTTGTGAACTCATCGAAACTGGGATCTTATCTTTGTATGTTTTAGTTTCTCAGTACTAGTGTATACCTGATACATTGTAGGCATTCAATAAATAATGCTCCAGTGAATTAATTACTGGCATTTTCACTTGGATAAACCCCTCAAACCAACATCTCCAGAATGCACTATCATTTTGCCCAAACTTCTGAGTCTCAGTGTAGGAAAGGTGGAAACTGCAGCGTGTTTTATGACTTCCCTCTTTCCTTCAGTCAGTTCCTCCATTGCCATCTCTCTCCTCTTTCTTCCAATTACTTACCTTCATTTTGTCTCTCATCTTTCACCTCTCAGATCTCCACTTATTTCCCATCTTCTAGATTAAACTTCTTCAAGCTTGATTCCCTTACTGTTTCTCCTCTTCCAGCAAATATTTTGGTTGTCATTGCTGTAGAGATGAAGAAACCTGGACATATGCTTGACTTACTCATGTCTGGTTTTTCCACCGTTTCTTCACAGAGGGTTCTATAATGTGCATTTTCTGAAGTGAAGCATTGAACATGGTTGAGACCATTGTTTTCTAACACTCATAAGGTAACCTCCAATATTGTGGATGGTGTGGCCTTCGGGGAACTGTGGCACCAGTCACTCTGTATTGCAAATTCCTTGCTGGGTTGCCACCTGTCACACCCCAGGGGTTTGGGAGAATTTCCACAGGGTCAGACACAGCATGAAATGGGCTAAGGAACCCTCTAAAATGGGGAAAATGAAACTTACAAGGTCAGAGTGAGCAAGAGCAGAGACCCACTGTTTCCTGTCCACCCTTCATCTCACAGAGAGGTGTGTCAGGAGTTCTGTTGGACCTTCTGTGTGGGTTTGCATTCGAGGAGTGAGACTTCACCTTTAATTTGGCCTTTACTACAAGGCAATCTTAGGTGCAGAAAAATAATCAGACCAGTTTGCACCAGACATTTGGAACTGGCAGCAGCTGTTTGAAGAAGTTGACTAAGAGCAAAAGGTGCTGGTTCTTAGGGAGCTTGGCCTTTAAGAAGTTACAGCCACTCCTATCCAGAGGTTCTATTGGCAGCTGAATTAGGATGCAGTGCCTCCTTCCGGGAGAAGGGGATTCGATGCTCCATCCAACTTGCTCATTGCCCAGGAATCATAGTTAGGACATCTGGAGTCACTTTAAGACAACTGCTCACTGCACCACAGTCCTACCTGGCTGGTGGTAGAGTCCACTGTCTAATGCAGCAACCTGTGTGTGTCACAAACCTCATGGCTCAGTCTCCTTAGCCAGACATTTAGGGTTTCCATTCTTTGGCCATATTCCTTTCTGATGTCATCTCTCATGACTTCTTGTCACATGTTCTGTGGCCTAGCCAATGGAATATTGAATGTCCTCCCACGTGAATCCGCTTCCATCCTTCTACAATACCACTGTACCTGCACCTTTGCAGTTCTTCCCTCCTGGATGCTTCTCTATCCTTCTCCCTACCTCCTTTCCCCGCAATGTTCTCTGTCTCTAAGTGTCTAAAGGCCACGAACACCTCAAGGTTCAGCCAAAACCTCTGGCCCTTTCTCATCTAGGCATTTGCTCATATTTTCCCCTCCAACTGGGAGGAACCCCTCCCCAACTTCTTTTTTTCCAAGCTTAATGATTTCTCATAAACTTTTCTCTGAGCCCCTAGGAAAAAAACTGTGTTTTCTTTGCTGCCCCCCAACCATAGTAGTCAACTTTAAAATTGGCATTAACACATTCCCCCTTGTCTTACACATATACATTTCTTTACACTCCTATTTGATGACAGGTCCATCCAGGAAAGCAATCATATCTTCTATGCCTTATTCCCTAGAGTAACTTGTGTATTACAGGTGTTCAATGATGGGTAATGATTAAGTGAAAAGATCAGGGCATGAGGTATGTGTGCAAAAGGCTGGGGGCTGTCAGAGGCAGATTCGTATCTCTGCCTTGGCCAGATAAGCTGGGTATGTATGTGAGCCGATGGGAGCATCCCACTCCGTCCTCCTCCCTAATCTTTCTCTCTACCGACATACCCTCATACCCTCACCTACGCTCAGTGACTCCCAGGATTATATTCAAAAGTAAGAACAAGAAGACCTGATTCATCATGATTTAGGAATGGCTTGTAGGATAGACTGGGGACATAACCACACACTTTTTGCTTTCAAAATGTATAACTGAGCAGTTAGCAGTTAGCTGTCTTTTGTTTCCAACCTAATTCAATTGAGAAGTGATATAAGAGGAAAGAAATATCCCAACTGCAGAGAAGTCTTCAGTCAAGTCTCAAGATAATTTTTTTAAGTGATGTCAATGACATAAAACAAAGAGGAAAGGTCTGTGTCGTTGCTTAACGATTTCACGTTTTTGCCTTCCAGGAGACAGAGCTACTGGATCTCAGCCTTGTCAAAGATGCCAGATGTGGGAGACACGCCAAAGCTCCCAAGGTAGGAGGTTGAGTGTTGTGCATGCACCAGATGCTGCCTTGATTGTTTGGCTGTGTCACAATATCAATTAATTGCCCCAATTAAAAGTTTCTATGTTATAGATGTTGTAAAACACAATAGCCAGTATGCCCTAAACACTTTCACTTTTATTAAAAGACGGAAACAATGAACAAATATGTGGGCTCTTGGACAGAGGGGCTTGCTTTATGTCCTCTAATTTTGCCTTTGTTTGAAAAAAAAAGACAACGACAACAATGCCCAAGTTACTGGGTAATTCTAAATGATTAAAAAGTACTTGAAATTATTTGAAAAAATCTTTGAACCTCGTAAACATATGGGAACTAACCGTTAGACATGATGAATAGAACTCCCATATAGCTGAAATGCTCTGCAATTGAAATGATTCCATCCACAATGCCAAAAGGTGTATAGTCTTAATTCTGCAAATGTTACTAGTAAAGATCAGCATACTTTGGGATGAATTGTGTGCAGTGTCATTTGTTTTGGTTTGAAAAACTTACTGAAGAAATATTCAAAGAAGTGTTTGCAGTCTGTTTATTTTTTGAAGATAATTTTTAAATATTGGATGAAGAACATAATTTTTTAAGCTTAGATGATCTGGTAGGATATAGTAGCAGGATATGTTGTCTTGCCATCAAAGTTAAAAGCTATTCTTCATTTTATTTAAAATTTAGTACTTTACATACTTCATTTCTGGCAGAGAGGGTATTGGCAAACATAGAAGTACAGTTGCCATTTAGGAGCTCAATGCGTCTTTCCATACTTGATATAAAACTAGCTATTTTCTATTTGAGTGTCTTCCCACAACTTTTGTTTTATCTTTTAAAAGTCAAAATTCTTTCTCTGACATTAAAATGATCTGTTGCTTTGGAGATGCAAGAAAAAAAAATCACCTGGAATAATTATTCTTCAGAGGCGTAAAAAGGCAGTAGGTGCCAGCATATTCTATGACACAGCAAACACACGGCTGCTGGGTTTTTTAATTTTTTAATTTTTATTTTATTTGCTGAAAGGGTTAAAATGATCTATGGTAAAATGTAAAAAACAAAGATTTTTGAAAGAAAAATTAGAACTGTATTCAAGAAGGCTTCTATAAGTGTTTCATATGAAACTAATCTGTTATTTACATTTATCTCCTTAGTAACATGGAATTTCAATAGTTTAGCCTCTCAGTTTTGTATCAGACTTACTATAATTAATGCTTTGTTGATGATTCAAAATTGCTCACAGTTTTTAGTATAGGAAAGAATATTTTTTCTTCTTCCCCCAACAACATTTCAGCCAAATTTCATATAAGCCTGTTAGTTCCAAGAACTATATTGATAATGCAGCTATGAAATTTATCTTTGAACCTAAGTTTATTGGCCTAACTTGCAATTTCAATATCGATATTAGTTTTAAAGACAGTTGCCGACACTGCATCAGAGCCCTGTTTGTCCCCAGGCATTGGGAGTCAAAGTGAATTCTGCTGCCACATGGAGGGTTTCTTTCAGGCTTGAATCTGTCTCTTTTATTGCGGTACACAGCTTGCTTATCAGTTAAGTGTTTCGTTTATGGATGTGGTTTGATAAATGTCTACTGAACAGTGACAAATGAACAGCAGTAGGGCCTGTACTGTGCTCAGCTGATAAACCACTGTTAGATCCTCAAATGCTTCTCGTGAGGATGGATTTTTAACACTTAGAATACTCTGACTTTGTCAGCTTTTCTCCATCAGCTCTTTCTTGGAGGGACTGATTACTTCCTCTTTGAATTATCTATGCTCCTGGCTTCCTTTTTTTCCCTCCTATTTATTGCTGATGTTCAAGAACCTCACTCTCCTCTAATATTTTCAAAGCCTGGTTCTATTAAACATTACCTGTGTGGCTTTCCTGAGACTCCAGCTTCTTCCTTGTTGGCTAAATGGTGAAGATAATGATAATAATAAGTACTTGAAATGGTTGCTATAAGGATTAAATGAAATAATTCATTAGGAAACCTTTAGCACAGGAGTTCTCAAATTTAATTGCTCATGGAATTACCTGGGAAACTTTCAAAAATGCTGATGTGTGTTTTCCGCCTCCAGAAATGCTGGTACCATAAGAATCAAATTGATACAGGTGTGGTGTGGGCATGATGGATTTGAAAAACAAATTTGCAGCAAAATTTGAGCACCACTGCCTTAACTTACTCTTGGTGTACAATAAGTACTTACTAAATATTAGCCAATATTGTTGGTAGTAACATTGTTGCTTTTGTTATCACTAAAAAATTCAAGTCAGAATTGTAGAAAGCCACTTTTCATTTCACTCACTTAATTTGGAAATGTTTATGTCAGCAAAAGGGATCAGAGGAGGGGCTTATCTCAAAGGGGGTTGTGGATTGACAGGCAAGAAAGAAGTTGCTATTACTATCAGTTTAAAATCTTCAAATTTCCAGAGAAAACCTCAGCTCAAATTGGACAAATAAAAATATAATTTATTGAAAATGACTGGAATGTATTGAAAATTTCAGCGGAATTGCCAGGTTCAGGTGAAGTTTCATTCCACTGCTCAGTTAATGTCACCAAGGACTAGGTGCCTCTTTTTTTCATCAGTATGCCATGCAAGGTTCTGGTAGGGGTTCTGATATGGCTTGGCTGTGTCCCCACCCAAAATCTCATCTTGAATTGTAATTCCCATCATCCCCATGTGTCGAGGGAGAGACCAGGTGGAGGTAATTGAATCATGGGGGCAGTTCCCATGCTGTTCTCGTGAAAGTGAGTGAGTTCTCACGAGATCTGATGGTTTTATAAGTGTTTGGTAGTTCCTCCTGAGTTCACTCTCTCCTGCTTCCTTGTGAAGAAGATGCCTGCCTCCCCGTCGTCTTCCAGCATGATTGTAAGTTTCCTGAGGCCTCCCCAGCCATGCAAAACTGTGAGTCAGTTAAACCTCTTTGTTTTGTAAACTACCATCTTGGGAAGTTCTTTATAGCAGTGTGAGAACGGACTATTACCGGGTCCTTTTCCATCTTCAGGTTCCCCTTGGATGCTACCCTCTGCACACCACCCTTGGCAGCTCCTGGCCTCCCCACCTAACAGTGTCATATGGGGTGGCCCAAAAGAGAGACTAGCTGCCTATCAGAGAATTGTATCAGGATTACAGTATAACTACCTTGTAGAAGAAGGTGTAGGGCCTGCAAGAGGAAAACTAGACCATTGAGTTGGTTAGAACAAAAGCAGCAACAGGACTTAGAGTAGATTAAAAGTATAAAGATACCAGGATAAAGTGAAGAAAGCTTGGAAACTGGGGACAGAAAGGCAATGTAACAAAAGGACAGATTGAGTGCAAGACTTTCTGCGGGGGCTTATAGACCATAAAGGAAGGAAGAACATTTGTGAAGCAGATATTTATCAAAATACCCAGGCACCCCACAAATATTTATCTCTATATTCATATTATTTTTGTTTTTTACAGCATCTCATTACATAAAAATTCAAGATCTGGTTGAAAATGAACTGTTTTTTGTGCCTGCTGTGATTTGAAATAACATTTACAGGAAATGGAAAAGCTTCCATGTGTTACCCTGTTTATGAATTTAAATGTCAACCCCCAACACAATACATGAAATTCCAGATCTTCTTTTCTGTATATAACCTTTGTTCAAGTTGCCAGTTTTAAAATTTCACATTAGAGAGAACTTGGGAGATCTTTATCCAAATGTAATAACCAAAAGAAAAACACTGTATCCTTTGAAATCTAAAAGGTGCTTACTTTTTTTCTTGCTCTCTCTCTCCCTCCTTCCGGCCCTCCCAGGTTTGTAGAGCACACGTAAGGGCAAGATGCTGTGGTATATATATCTTGTCTGTGCTATGTACATGTACTTTCTGGGTCGTCACTTCAAAAAGATCTTTGCTTTTAAAAAAAGTGTTTATCACTGCGGCCTCTGATCTATTAGTAGTTCCTGACCCATCAGATCCATTCAGTGGCTCATGTGCAGCTTTCATAAAATAAAATAAACTTGATAAGAGTGGAAAATAATCTTGTCTTGTACAGAAAAAGTTGTTTTTTGAAACTTTTTTCATGTATGTGACTGTATGTTCTGAGTCACAGCATAAAGTGTAATTTTTACTGTGGGCAATACATATCGGAGAAGTTTTAAAAAGGATGCTGAACAAGATCATTTCTTCAGCCTCATGATTCTCAGCATGTATTGAGTGCTTAGGGGTATGGAAAAGTGGGGAAAGTGGAGATGTGGGTTCAAGTGCCAGCTTTGCCATTAACAGGCGTAAGGAAGTTGTGCTGTCTGCTGGCATCTCTACTTCCTCATCTATGAAATGGGGCATGGGATACATGGTTTTAGGTATGTAAGTTCCGTTAGCCCTTGATTCCAGCTTTTAAATTGAGAAGTTAAACACCCATGACTTTCCACCTTACAGATTGTAAAACTGATGTTGAATAAGTTTACATAACCTGAAACTTCTTACCTCCTTCATCATGCAAACCAAGTGAACCAAAAAAAAAAAAAAAAAAAAAGGTCACACTCTAGCCAAGGTAAGGTACTATGCCAACAAAAAGGATTAAAGACTTGTGTCAAGCTTCTTTATGTGTGGCTTCTCAAAAGCATTCTAGGATTGCTTTTGGACACCACAGGGAGCGACCTCAGGGTCACAGAGGCTCTCCCAACTTTAGTACATGAAAACTGTGTGCTGCCAACTTCCAGCTCTCAAGAATGCACGCAGCAATGTCATTGAAAAATATTTTTATAGTTACACAAAATAAACTGCTTGTCATGCTGATCTGACAACTAGTTTATTCTATTGGTAAAGGGCAGTTATTTCAGATATGTAGTATTAATTTTAATGTAGATTCTTTGTAAATATCTAGGCCGCAATTAAATTCTAGGTTGTATGTAGTATCACCAGAATCACATAAGGTAGATTAGAGTAAAATCAAATTTTAAAAATTGATTAGGCTTTTCTTTCCTAATCTCTACATAAACATGATAGCTTTTTTACTTCATTCTTTATTGATTCATTGATTGATTGATATTCAATGACAGAAGTCATTGAGTGACTCTTTCTGCCAGGTACTGTTACAGGTGCTGGAAAACAGCAATGAACAAAAAGACAAACAGCTATGCTGTCATATAGCATTTTATTTAAGAGTGAGAAAGTGGTGGTAGTTTTAAACTGGGTCTTAAAAAAGAAAAGAAATCAGCCGGGCGCAGTGGCTCACGCCTGTAATCCCAGCACTTTGGGTGGCTGAGGCGGGCGGATCACGAGGTCAGGAGATCGAGACCATCCTGGCTAACACAGTGAAACCCCGTCTCTACTAAAAATACAAAAAATTAGCTGGGCATGGTGGCAGGCGCCTGTAGTCCCAGCTACTCAGGAGGCTGAGGCAGGAGAATGGCATGAACCTGGGAGGCAGAGATTGCAGTGAGCCAAGATCACACCACTGCCCTCCAGCCTGGGCGACAGAGCGAGACTCCATCTCAAAAAAAAAAAAGAAAAAGAAAGAGAAAGAGAAATCCCTGATTTGCTGTGTTGGCTGACTTCCTTTGGGCAACTATTTCCATGGAGGCAAATTTCAAGCTACCAACCTGATGTCATTGAATGAAGAGTTGGAAGGCAATACACACCATGTCCAGTAGACCTATCAGCAGGTTCCAGCACCTCATGGGGTAGGGGAAACAGATAACAGATAAGTCCCACTGAGAAGCATAAAGCGGGATCGGAGACCTGAGAAAATGAGTGCTGGGAAGGGGTCTGCTGCTTTACAGAGCCATAGTGGGGAAAGGTGTCTTGATAGGAGGCAGTTATATGAGTAGAGACATGAACTTAGTGAGGGAGAGCATTCCTCTTTGCCGGGGATACAGCAAGAGCAAAGCATATTTCAGGAATAGAGGAAGGCCAATGTGGCTACTGTAGAGTTCAGACCTTTTAGGCCATGAAAATGACTTGGGCTTTTCTTCTGATGGAAGAGGGAAGGCTTCTGAAAGTTCTGAGCACAGAAGTGATGGGATCTGAGCTTTTGAAAGTTCCACTGGTGGCTGTTGGGAGTAAACTACAAAAGAGAGAAGCAAGCAGACCAACTAAATGGCTGCTGCAGATATCCTGGGGTGATGATGATAACTTTGCCTGAGGTGGTAGCTAGAGAGGTGGTGAACAAAGTGACATAATCTGAATATGTTTTAAGATAGAGACACAGGGTTTGATAATGTATTGGATGTGAAGTATGAGCAAAAGAAAAGATTCTAGAACAACTATTAGTGTTTTGGCCCAGAAAATTGGGAGAATTGGGTTGCCATGTCCTCAGATAAGAAGGAAGGAAGAGCATATTTAAACAGAAAAAAATCCAGAATTTGGTTCTGGATATTTAAATGTTGAGATGCCTGCTAGACTTTTACCTGATAATGTCAGGACAGTTAGACACAAGTCTGGGGTTCAGGGAAGATGTTGGCCCTGGAGATACAAATGTGGGCATTTGAGGCTCAAATCCTGGGTGAGGTCTCTTAAGGAATGTAGGTGTAAAAGAAAGAGGTTTGAGATCTGAGACATGGGATTGCCAGCATTTAGACTTTGAGGAGACTTGGAGGAAACAGCAAAAGAGACTGAGAATGGTATATACGTAAAAGAATAGAAGGCAGGAACTTGAACAGACACTTGTGTACCAACGTCCATCGATGGATGAGTGGATATACAAAATGTCGCATACACTTACAATGGAATATTGTTTAGCCCTAAAACAGAATGAAATTTTGACACATGCTACAACCTGAGGGAACCTTGAAGACATTATGCTGAGTGAAATAAGCCAGACATAAAAGGACAAATATAGTATGACTCTGTTCTTATATGAGGTACAGGCATACCGCAGCAGCATTGCAGATTTGGTTCCGGAACAACACAATACAGTGAATATTGAAAAAACATAAGTAATACACATTTTTTGGTTTCCCACTGCATGTAAAAGTTATGATTACACTATACTGTAGTCCATTACATGTACAATAGCTTTATGTCTTAAAAATCAGTTATTTTTAGACATAATTTTACAATTAAATTAAATAAAAAATATTTTATTGGTAAAACATGCTAATGATCATCTGAGTCTTCAGCAAGTCACAGAGGGTCTTGCCTCGATATCAAAGGCTGCTGGCCATTCAGGGTAGTGATTGCTGAAGATTAGGGTAGTGGTGACAATTTCTTAAAATAAGACAACAGTGAAGTTTGCAACATCAGTTGACTCTTCATTGCATGAAAGATTTTTCTGTAACATGAAATCCTGTTTGATATTTTACCCACAGTAGAACAGTAGAACTACTTTCAAAATTGGAATCCATCCTCTCAAACCCTGCTTCTGTTTTAGCAACTAAGTTTATATAATATTCTAAATCTTTTGTTGTCGTTTCAACACTGTTCAGTGTATCTTCACCAGGAGTAGATTCCATTTCAAGAAACGACTTTCTTTGCTCATTCATAAAAGTAACCCCTTGTCTGTTCAAGTTTTATTTATTTATTTTTACTTCTTATTTTGTTTTATGTTTTTAATTTTACTTTAATTTCTCGGATACATGTGCAGAACATGCAGGTTTGTTACATAGGTATACGCATGCCATGGTGGTTTGCTATGTCTATTGACTCGTCCTGTAAGTTCCCTCCTCTCACCTCCCCCACCCCCCAACAGGCCCTGGTTTGTGACATTCCCCTCCCTGTGTCCACATGTTCTCATTGTTCAACTCCCACTTATGAGTGAGAACATGCAGTGTTTGATTTTCTGTTCCTGTGTTAGTTTGCTGAGGATAATGGCTTCCAACTTCATCCATGTCCCTGCAAAAGACATTATCTCATTACTTTTTATGGCTGCATAGTATTCCATGGTTTATATGTACCACATTTTCTTTATCCAGTCTATCATTGATGGGTGTTTGGGTTGGTTCCCTAACTTTGCTATTGTAAGTAGTGCTGCAATAAACATATGTGTGCATGCGTCTTTATAATAGAATGACTTATATTCCTCTGGCTGTATACCCAGTAATGGAATTGCTGGGTCAAATGGTGTTTCTGGTTCTAGATCCATGAGGAATCACCATACTGTCTTCCACAATGGTTGATCCAATTTACATTCCCACCAACAGTATAAAAGCATTCCTATTTCTCCACAGCCTCACCAGCATCTATTGTTTCTTCACTTTTTAATAATCACGATTCTGACTGGCATGAGATGGAATCTTACTGTGGTTTTGATTTGCATTTCTCTAATGATCAGTGATGTTGAGCTTTTTTTCATATGTTTCTTGGCTGCATAAATGTCTTCTTTTGGAAAGTGTCTGTTCATATCCTTTGCCCACTTTTTGATGGTGGTATTTGTTTTGTTTTGTTTTTTTTCTTGTAAATTTGTTTAAGTTCCTTGTAAATTCTGGATATTAGACCTTTGTCAGATCGGTTGATTGCAAACATTTTCTCCCATTCTGTAGGTTGCCTGTTCACTCTGATGATAGTTTCTTTTGCTGTACAGAAGCTCTTTAGTTTAGTTAGATCCCATTTGTCAAGCTTGGCTTTTGTTGCAATTGCTTTTGGCATATTTGTCATGAAGTCTTTGCACATACCTATGTCCTGAATGGCATTGCCTAGATTTTCTTCCAGGGATTTTTATGGTTTTGGGTTTTACATTTAAGTCTTTAATCCATCTTGAGTTAATTTTTGTATAAGGTAGGAGGAAGGGATCAAGTTTCAGTTTCCTGCACATGGCTAGCCAGTTTTCCCAGCACCATTTATTTAATAGGAGATCCTTTCCCCATTGTTTGTTTTTGTCAGGTTTGTTGAAGATCAGATGGTTGTAGGTGTGTGGTGTTCTATTCCATTGGTTCTGTATGTCTGTTTTGGTACCAGTACCACCTGTTTCGGTTACTGTAGTATTGTAGTATAGTTTGAAGTCAGCTAGTGTGATGCCTCCAGCTTTGTTCTTTTTGCTCAGGATTGTCTTGGCTATACAAGGTCTTCTTTGATCCCATATGAAATTTAAAGTAGTTTTTTCTAATTCTGTGAAGAATGTCAATGGTAGTTTCATGGGTATAGTATTGAATCTATAAATTATTTTGGGCAGTACGGACATTTTCATGATATTGATTCTTCCTATCCATGATGATGGAATCTTTTTCCATTTGTTTGGGTCTTCTCTTATTTCCTTGAGCAGTGGTTTGTAGTTCTTGACAAGATCCTTCACATCCCTCGTTAGCTGTATTCCTAGGTATTTTATGCTCTTTGTAGCAGTTGTGAATGGGAGTTCATTCATGATTTGGCTCTCTGCTTGTCTATTGTTGGTGTAAAGGAATGCTTGTGATATTTGCACATTGGTTTTGTATCCTGAGACTTGGCTAAAGTTGCTTATCAGCTTAAGGAATATTGGGGTTGAGATGATGTGGTTTTCTAAATATAGAATCATGTTGCTGCAGACAGAGACAAGTTGACTTCTCTCTTCCTATTTGAATACCCTTTATTTCTTTCTCTTGCCTGATTGCCCTGGTCAGAACTTCCAATACTAGGTTGAATAGGAGTGGTGAGAGAGGCCATCCTTGTCTTGTATTGGTTTTCACAGAGAATGCTTCCAGTTTTTTCCCATTCAATATAATATTGGCTATGGCTTTGTCATAAATAGCTCTTATTATTTTGAGATATGCTCTATCAATGCCTAGTTTATTGAGAGTTTTTAGCATGAAGTGATGTTGAATTTTATCAAAGGCCTTTTCTGCATCTATTGAGATAATCACATGGTTTTTATCTTGGTTCTGTTTATGTGATGGATTACATATATTGATTTGCATATGTTGAACCAGCCTTGCATACCAGGGATGAAGCTGTCTTGATCGTAGTGGATAAGTTTTTTGATGTGCTGCTGGATTTAGTTTGCAGTATTTTATCGAGGATTTTTGCATCGATGTTCATCAGGGATATTGGCCTGAAGTTTTTTTTGTTGTTGTTGTGTCTCTGCCAGGTTTTGGTAACAGGATGATGCTGGCTTCATGAAATGAGTTAGGGAGGAGTCCCCCCTTTTCATTTGTTTGGAATAGTTTCAGAAGGAATGGTACCAGCTCCTCTTTGTACCTCTGGTAGAATTCAGCTATGAATCCATCTCATGCTGTGCTTTTTTTGGTTGGTAGGCTATTAATTACTGCCTCAATTTCAGAACTTGTTATTGGTCTATTCATGGATTTGACTTCTTCCTGGTTTAGTCTTGGGAGGTTGTATGTGTCCAGGAATTTATTCATTTCTTCTAGATTTTCTAGTTTATTCGCATAGAGGTGTTTATAGTATTCTCTGATGGTAGTTTGTATTTCTATGGGGTCAGTGGTGATATCCCCTTTATCATTTTTTAGTGTGTCCATTTGATTCTTCTCTCTTTTCTTCTTTATTAGTCTAGCCAGCAGTCTATCTATTTTGTTAATTTTTTCGGGAAAAAAAGAAGAAGCTCCTGGATTCATTGATTTTTTTTGGAGGGTTTTTCATGTCTCTATCTCCTTCAGGTCTGCCCTGATCTTAGTTATGTCTTGTCTTCTGCTAGCTTTTGGATTAGTTTGGCCTTGCTTCTATAACTCTTTTAATTGTGATGTTAGGGTATCAGTTTGAGATCTTTCTAGCTTTCTGATGTGGGTACTTAGTGCTATAAAGTTCCCTCTTAACACTGCTCTAGCTGTGTCCCAGAGATTCTGATACACGTTGTCTCTTTGTTCTCATTGGTTTCAAAGAACTTCTTGATTTCTGCCTTAATTTCATTATTTACCCAGGAGTCATTCAGGAGCAGGTTGTTCAATTTCCATGTAATTGTGTGGTTTTGAGTGAGTTTCTTTTTCTTTTTTTTTTTTTTTTTGAGATGGAGTCTTGCTCTGTCGCCCAGGCTGAAGTGCAGTGGTGTGATCTCGGCTCTCTGCAAGCTCCGCCTCCCGGGTTCACGCCATTCTCCTCCCTCAGCCTCCTGAGTAGCTGGGACTACAGGTGCCCACCACCACACCTGGCTAATTTTTTTGTATTTTTAGTAGAGACGGGGTTTCACCATGTTAGCCAGGATGGTCTCGATCTCCTGACCTCGTAATCCACCCATCTTGGCCTCTCAAAGTGTCTTTTTTTTTTTTTGAGACACAGTCTCACTCTGCCACCCAGGCTGGAGTACAGTGGGGCACAATCTCAGTTCACTCTTGTGCTCCACCTCCCGGGTTCACACCATTCTCCTGCCTCAGCCTCCTGAGTAGCTGTGACTACAGGCACCTGCCACCATGCCTGGCTAATTTTTGTATTTTTAGTAGAGACGGGGTTTCACCATGTTAGCCAGGATGGTCTCGATCTCCTGACCTCATGACCAGCCCACCTCGGCCTCCCAAAGTGCTGGGATTACAGGCATGAGCCACCACACCTGGCCTTGAGTGAGTTTCTTAATCCTGAGTTCTAATTTGATTGCACTGTGGTCTGACAGACTGTTATGATTTCAGTACTTTTGCATTTGCTGAGGAGTGTTTTACTTCCAATTATGTAGTTGATTTTAGAGTAAATGCCATGTGATACTGAGAAGAATGTATATTCTGTTGATTTGGGTTGGAGAGTTCTGTAGATATCTGTTAGGTCCCGTTGATCCAGAGCTGAGTTCAAGTCCTGAATATACTTGTAAATTTTCTGTCTCATTGATCTGTCTAATATTGACAGTGGGATGTTAAAGTCTCCAACAAGTATTGTATGGGAATCTCTGCGTCTCTTTGTAGGTCTCTAAGAACATGTTTTATGAACCTGGATGCTCCTGTATTGGGTGCATATATATTTAGGATATTTAGCTCTTCTTGTTGAATTGATCCCTTTACCATTATGTAATGCCCTTTTTTTGTCTTTGTTGGTTTAAAGTCTGTTTTGTCAGAGACTAGGAATGCAACCCCTGCTTTTCTTTTTTCTTTTGGCTTCCATTTGCTTGGTAAATTTTCCTCCATCACTTTATTTTGAGCCTATATGTGTCTTTGCATGTGAGATGGGTCTCCTGAATACGGCATACCGATGGGTCTTGACTCTATCCAATTTGCCAGTCTGTGTCTTTTAATTGTAACATTTATCCCATTTATATTTAAGGTTAGTATGGTTACATGGGAATTTGATCCTGTCATCATTATGCTATCTGGTTATTTTGCACACTAGTTGATGCAGTTTCTTCATAGTGTCATTCGTCTTTATATTTTGGTGTGTTTTTGCAATGGCTGGTTTTCCTTTCCATATTTAGTGCTTCCTTCAGGAGCTCTTGCAAGTCAAGCCTGGACTAAATCCCTCAGCATTTGCTTGTCTGGAAAGGCTTTTATTTCTCCTTCGCTTATGAAGCTTAGTTTGGCTGGATATGAAATTCTGGGTTGAAAAGTGTTTTCTTTAAGAATGTTGAATATTGGCCCCCAATCTCTTCTGGCTTATAGGGTTTCTACTGAGAGGTCTGCTGTTGGTCTGATGCGCTTCCCTTTGTAGGTGACCTGGCCTTTCTCTCTGGCTGCTCTTAACATTTTTTCCTACATTTTGACCTTGAAGAATCTGAAAATTATGTGTCTTGGGGTTGATCTTCTTGTGGGGTATCTTAGCGGTGTTCTCTGTATTTCCTGAATTTGCATGTTGGCCTATCTTGCTAGGTTGGGGAAGTTCTCCTGGATGATATCCTGAAGTGTGTTTTCCAGCTTCTTTTCATTCTCCTTGTCCCTGTCACGTACTCCATTCAATCGTAGGTTCAGTCTTTCTACATAGTCCCATATCTCTTGGAGGCTTTGTTTGTTCCTTTTCATTATTTTTTCTCTAATCTTGTCTGCATGCCTTATTTCAGCAAGGTGGTCTTCAAACTCTGATATCCTTTCTTCTGCTTGATTGATTTGGCTATTGATACTTGTGCATGCTTCACAAAGTTCTTGTGCTGTATTTTTCAGCTCCATCAGGTCATTTATGTTCCTCTCTAAACTGGTTTTCTAGTTAGCAGCTCCTCTAACCTTTTATCAAGGTTCTTAGCTTCTTTGCATTGGATTAGAACATGCTCCTTTAGCTCAGTGGAGTTTTTTATTATCCATCTTCTGAAGCCTACTTCTGTCAGTTCGTCCATCTCATCCTCTGTCCAGTTCTGCACCCTTGCTGGAGAGGCATTGAGGTCCTTTGGAGGAGAAGAGGCACTCTGCATTTTGGGTTTTCAGTGTTTTTTTGTTGATTCTTTCTCGTCTTTATGAGTTTGTCTAGTTTTGATCTTTGAGGCTGCTGACCCTTGGATGGAGTATTTGTGGGGATTTTTTGTTGTTGATACTGTTGTTGTTGCTTTCTGTTTGTTTGTTTTTCTTTCAGTGGTCAGGTCCCTCTTCTATAGGGCTGCTGCAGTTTGCTGGGGGTTCACTTCAGGCCCTATTCATCTGGTTTGCTCTCGCACCAGGAGATGTCACTCAAGGAGGCTGTAGGACAGCAAAGATGGGTGCCTGCTCCTTCTTCTGGCATCTCTGACCTCAAGGGGCACCAACCTGATGCGAGTAGGATCGCTCCTGTATAGGGTGTCTGACAACCACGTTGGAGGGTCTTACCCAGCTGGGTGGCACAGGGAACAGGACCCATTTAATGAAGCACTTTGACTGTCACTTGGTGGAGGGGATGTGCTTCGCTGGGGAGAAACCCACTCTTCTGGGCTGCCTGGATTCCTCAGAACTACCAGGATGAAAGGCTAAGTCTACTGGTCCACAGAAACTGCGGCCACTCCTCTCCCTGGGGCTCAGGCCCAGGAAGATCAGGGTTCTTTCCCTGAGCCTCTGGCTGGAGTTGGAGTTCCTGCAAGGAGTCCCCACCAAGTGAGAAAGGATGAGTCAGGGTCAGGCCTGAAGAGGCACTCTGGCTGCAGTCTGCCACAGCTGGTGTGTTGGGCTGTGGGGGAACCTCTTGGGACCAAGCTGCCCAGCCTTCCTGGCCCCAGGAGAGGAAAAGCATGGCCTGGAGCTGTAGAGATGGATGCTGTCCTTCCCCACCCAGGGAGCTTAGCGTGACAGGCAGTTACAAGTCCCAGTGCTGGCTGCTGCCCCTCCTCCAAGGAGTTCAAATGGCTTAGACAGCAGGCAGCCACAGCTGTGGTGCTGGTGGCCCCTCCCCCTGGGAACTTGGCAGGCTTAAGCAGATTCGAGCTGAGAGGCTGTTGAGAATCTGCACAGCTCTGGGGTTGGGACCCTAGGCCCCAGTGGCGTGGGTTCACGAGTGGGATCTTCCGATCCATGGGTTGCACAGTTCTGTGGAAAAAGCATGGTTTCCCCGGCTGGGTAGCACGCTCACTCGCTGCCTCCCTTGGCTGGGGGGTGAGGGCTCCCCTCTCCCATGTGGCTCTCAGGTGGACCACCACACCACACTGCTCTTCCTTCCTCTCCATGGATCATGCCAGCTGCCTCGTCAGTTCCGATGAGAGAACCTGGATATCTTGATTGCTGGTGGAGGATTCACACACTATTATGATTCTTTTTGATGGAGCCTCTCTGATGGCTGCTGCTCCTAGTTGGCCATCTTGGCCCTGCCTCCCCGTTCAAGTTTTATTATAAGATTGCAGCAAAGCAGTCACACCTTTAGGTTCTAATAATAATTATTGTCCTCTAGCAATTTCTACCACAACTACAGTGACTTTCTCCACTGAAGTCAAAGTCGTCCATGAGGATTGGAATCAGCTTCTTCCAAACTCCTCTTAATGTTGATATTTTGACCTTCTCCCATGAATCTTGAATGTTCTTAATGGCATCTAGAATGGTGAATTAAGGTTTTAAATTTACTTAGCCCACATCCATCTGAAAAATCCCTATCTATAGCAGTGTAGCCCTACCTAAAGTATTTCTTGAATAATAAGATTTGAAAGTCAAATTTATTGATCCATGGGCTACAGAATGGATGCGTTAGCTGGTATAAAACAACATTAATCTCCTTGTATATCACCATCAGAGCTCTTTTGTGGCCAGGTGCATTGTCAATGAGCATTAATATTTTGAAAGGAATCCTTTCTCAGCATTAGGTCTCAACAGTAAGCTTAAGGTATTTAGTACACCATGCTGTAAACAGATATGCTGTTATCAGATTTTGTTGTGCTGTTTATAGAGCTCACGTGAAATAGGTTTAGCATAATTCTTCAGGGCCCTAGGATTTCCAGAACAGTCAATGAGCATTGGCTTCCACTTAAAGTTACCAACTGCCTTAATGCCTAACAAGAGAGTCAGCCTGTCCTTTGAAGCTTTGAAGTCAGGCATTGACTTCTCTCAAGATATGAAGGTACTAGATGGCATCATCTTCCAACAGAAGGCTGTTTTGTCTACATGGAAAATCTGTTGTTTGGTGTAGCCACCTTCATCAATGATCTCAGCTAGATCTTCTGGGTAATTTGCTGTAGCTTCTCCATCAGCACTTCCTGCTTCACCTTGCACTTGTATGTTATGGAGAAGGCTTCTTTCTTTAAACCTCATGAACCAACCACTGCTAGCTTCATACTTTTCTTTTGCAGCTTTCTAGCCTCTCTCAGTTGTCACAGGACTGAAGAGAGTTAGGGCCTTGCTGTGGGTTAGATTTTGGCTTAAGGGAACATTGGGGCTGGTTTGATCTTCTATCCAGATGGCTCAAACTTTCTCCCTATCAGCAATACGTTTGCTTTGCTTTCTTATCATTTGTGTGTTCACTGGAGTAGCAATTTTAATTTCCTTCAAGGACTTTTCCTTTGCATTCACAACTGGGCGGCTGACTGCTTGGCACAAGTGGTCTAGCTTTTGGCCTATCTTGGCTTTTGACACGCCTTCCTCACTCAGCTTAATCTTTTCTAGCTTTTGACTTAAAGTGAAAGGTGCATGATTCTTCCTTTCACTTGTACACTTAGAGGCCATTGTAAGGTTATTAACTGGCCTAATTTCAATATTGTTGTGTCTCAGAGAAAAGGGTGGCCCCAGGAGAGGGAGAAAGATAAGGGAACAGCTGGCCAATGGAGCAGTCAGTACCCACACAACATTTATTCATTAAATTCAACATCTTATATAGGTGCAGTTCCTGATGCTCCAAAACAATTACAATGGTAATATCAAAGATCACTGATCACAGATCACCATAACAGATATATTAATTATTCAAATGTTGTGAAAATTACCAAAATGTGACACAGATACATGAAGCATACACATGCTTTGTAAAAATGGCACCAACAGACTTGCTGGACTCAGGAATGCCACAAACCTTCAATTTGTAAAAACAAACAACAAAAAACCCCCACAATATCTGCAAAGCACAATGAAGCAAAGTGCAATAAAATGAGGTGTGCTTGTAGCTATTGTAGTCAAATCCTTAGAGATAGAAAGTTGCATGGTGGTTGCTGGGCCTGGGGGAGGAGAAAATGGGGAGTTATTGTTTAGTGGGTACAGAGTTTTAGTTTGAGAAGATGAGAAAGTTCTAGAGATGGATGGTGGTGATGGTTGCACAACAGTGTGAATCTACTTAATGCCACTGAACTGTACACTTAAAAATGGTAAATTATATATTATGTATGTTTTACCACTTTTTTTAAAAAAAAAAAAAAAAAAAAGAAGAAACTGAGAAGGAGCAACCAGTGAGGAGGGAGAAGAACCAGAACAGTGTATTTCCTGGATGCCTAAAAAATATTTCATGGAGGAAATCAAATGGTGAATTCAGGTCAAATGATGAATTTCCTTCTAGCTTTTCTTTTTTTATGGAGACTTCACTTTGGCACACTTGTAACTTTACTGACAATACCCTTTTGTATATGCTTTTTTTTCCCTTATATCATGACCGTTTCCTGCTAATATTCAAATTAGGCCGTTTATTTAAGGGTTGTCAAATCTCAAATAGCTCATCATAGAATCTGGATGCCAATATATAAATCTCATAATGAGCTGTTATTTGGATGTTATACAACAGTGGTTTCAATGAATCATCCATGAGGCCTGGAGTTGAAATGAATGCTTTATTTATTGTCTCCCATTGCTGATTATAAGCTGTTTCCCTGACTTTGTACAGATTTCACCATTATGTGAAGCCACAGTCATAAAATTTGGTATAGATATTTGAGGTTTAGGAAAGAAGAAGAAAACTCTTTACACAACAAAGTAAAGGTTTCTCCTTTTTTCTCCTGATTGCTAAGGAGATCAACCTTTGACCCTTATTCTTGGTTCCAACTATTTCTTAATTTACCTAACATGCTTCAGTAGTTTTTTTGGTTTGTTTTTTGGTTTGTTTTGTCATTTTGTTACTATAAATGTGTTTTTATTTACATCTTTACTAAATGGAGCAAAATAGGGCTAACAACTTATTGAATGATCTGTGTGTGTGCGTGCATGTGTGTGTGTGATGGTTTTGACAGCTATTCACATTTATCTTTAGATGTAAATTATATGGCATAGTTCCTTTTTTATGTTCATTAAATTCCATAGATGTCAGTGGTTTCCTTGGAAACAAAAACCTTTATATAACTAGTCAGAGATTTGGTAGCAGAAATATCAGGATGCTGGCAGGGGTTCAGGGGTGGTTAAGGAATGGTTCCCTTGGCAGATGTTTGCATTTAAAACTCTTCTGACTTTTCTCCCTGCCCCTTACCATCATGGCCATTCAATAGTGCACAAGATAAGATTTTTAAAGCTACTATTAAAATGTAGAATATTTTCTTTAATGGCTAAAAGCTTTTTACTTTAAAAAAAAATCGCAGATATGTTAAGTCTTTTCTGGGGTGGTATAATTTCCCAAATTTGAGAAGAGGTTGGTGTATCTCCTATCAACAGTTAAATCTGCATGTTTAGGCAATGCCTACATTTTTCAGTATATATGGTGTCCATTTGTAAAATACAGTGAACTGCATATGTGTGTGGTTGAATCAAGATTCTATGTCATTTATAATGGCCAGCATCTGTCCTATTACCTTATTGCCAAAGGGTTCTAAAGGACCTGGAGAGGTTGTAGAGAAGGTAAGGGAAAGGTCACGGTTCTGCTCAAGGGTAATAGTAGGTGAAAGGCCTGGCAGCCAAGAACATTCTCACGGAGGCCCAGAGTGGACCTGTTGTTGAAGACAGAATTAGTACCATGAGTTAATGAAACCCAGGTCTTTTCAGAAGATTGTGACTCATTTTTATCATTGCCCCTGTCTGGTGTAATTTCAACGTAAATCCAATTTGTTCTACATGCAATGGTACATAGTTGCATTTGGGAAACATTTCTCAATTTTAATTCTTTTAAACGCAATAATGCGCCATCTTGTGGACATATCCGATATTAAATTCTTAAATTAATTCTACATAGTGAACTGCTCTCTAAGCCAGGGTTTTCAATCATGGGTTCTAATATAGAGATATGAGAAGCACTTGGGGAGCTTTTAAAATCCTGATGTGCAGGCCACACCCCAATCAATTAAATTGAAATGTCTGCTGTGGGGCTCCAACACTGATATTTTCTTTAAAGTTCCCAAGAGATTCCAGTGTTCAACCAAGTTTCAAAACCATTCGTCTAAGTAAAAAGAGTACCAGCTTAAATGGATGATTTCTCTTTTGAAAATAGAGATTTTACACAGAAAAGCATTGAGAATTTTCCTACAAAATATGCTTGTCAAAAGGACCACTTTTCAGTCAAGTTTTCCTTAAACTTGACCACTATACTTAATGTAGAGAAGTACACCACGGTACTTGTATCAGTCTTCTCTGGTTACCACAGCAAAGTACCACAGGCTAAGTGGCTTAAAGCTTAAACAACAGAAGTTTATTCTCTCACAATTCTGGGAGCGGGAAGTCTGAGACAAAAGTGCCAGCAGGGTTATTTTCTTTGGAGGCCTTTCTCCTCGGCTTACAGATGGCTGCCTTCCCCGCATCTTCACGTGGTCCTCCCTCTGTTTCTATTCCTAATTTCCTCTTCTAATAAGGAACAAGTTGTATTGCATTAGGGCCCACCCTCATGAATGCATTTAACTTAATTACCTCTTTAAAGCACTATTGCTAAATACTATTACCTTCTAAATTACTGGGGGTTAATACTTCAACATATAAATGTTGAGGGGACACAAGTCAGCCCTTAACAGTGTTCCCTCATTACATTACAAAGCCTAGCTTAGGATTTGCTTCTTTATAAGGAGTAGCAGTGTATGATTATTTTGCTGTTGGTTTAATATAGAAAAGTAGATTTTTTTCTTTATAATCAATACAATGGTCAATGTGGATAAAACTGCATAGTCAGAATCATTTCAGAAATACACAATTGCTTTTGCAGAGTGGCTTTAGTACAGAATATGTTGATTTGGCATTATCAGCACTAATTTCTGCATGCCCCAGGGCACCCAGTATGTGTCTTTGTGTATTGCAAGTGCCTATAAGAGTATAGTTATTAAGGTCACAAGCTCTTGGGTCAGAAAGCCAAGCCACAACACCAATAACAAGCTGTATAATCCTGCAAGTTATATCATGTCTCTGAGACTTAGTTTCTTCATCTGAATTACAGGAATAATCGCCATGTTTATATCATCTAGTTGCGGTAAGGACTAAATGACAAAATGCACGTAAGGCACCTAACACAATTGTCACATCCATTGTTTGTCTAAATGCATTTTGCCATCATTATTAAGTAAATAAAATATATAACTTACATGTATGTGATGTAGTGGGAAAAAGCAAGTTAAATAGGCATAATTTACCTATTTACCATAGAATTCCATGCACTAATATAGATTGTCACTATAATCTATATTTATATATATAGATTGTCACTATAATCTATGTATAAGAGATTTATACTTTTGTAGCTGTGGCATTTAAACCTACTGATTAAAATCTAACTTCTATGTATTAGCTATAGAAAAATGAACTTGAGGCATATTTCTCTTTGCAGCCAAACACCTACCCCCAGAGAACTATCACAGCAATATTGTTGTACTAAGACTTACAGTTCTTATTTAGAAAACTGTCTAGATTTGCCAACAGTTAAATAGATTTTCCAACCATCAAAATAATTTTAGAGCAATTTACTTTCAGTTAAGAACATGCGGGTATCTTTTTCTGCACTATGAAGTCATTGAAGCAAAATCCAAAGCACTGTTTTGAAATGGAATAACAAGGTTAGGGGTCAGAGAGACCCAGATTCAAACTCCAGTGCACTTATTAGCTGAGAGAACCCAGGAAGGTTTATTGGTTTCCCTGTGAATGATAATACTTGCTGTATTGATTTGTCTTGCTAGTTGGATTTTAACTGGTAACAAGACATAAATCATAATGTTTGATACTACTTACTTCCCTATGGGCCTTAAGTTCACTTTTCAGTGTATTCTTCTTAATGTTCTGTGAGACTGGTAAATAATGAAGTATATATATATATATGTGTGTGTATATATATATATATATATATATATATATATATATATATACACACACATATATATATATTACTTGAACTTCCTCAATTTTGGAGATTAGGTCATAAACTAATGTGGCATGTAATTTGATACATGTTCCAGCAGGGGAAAATACTGGGATGTAATTTAACGAAAGAAACATTTTGAAATGGGAATATTCTCTGAAAATATGGAGTATATCATTACAATTCCTTTTCAGCTTTAGGACTCATAATAAACTGGGCACTGTCCAGTTTATGAGCAGCGAGTTCCTATAGTTTGAAAGTTTGCGTCCCCTCCAATATTCATGTTGAAACTTAATCGCCGATGCAATAGTATTTAAAGTTGTGGCCTTTTGAAGGTGATTAGGCAATGAGAACTCCTCCCTCATGAATGTGATTAAGGTCCTTATAAAAGAGATTTCACTCAAGGTTCAGTCTTTTTTGCCCTTCCTCCTTGGCCCATCTGAGGACACAGCATTCGAAATGCCACCTTGAAACAGAGAGCATCCCTCACCAGACACGGAACCTGTCTACGCCTTGATTTTGAGCCTCCCAGCCTTCACATCTGTGGAAAATAAATTTCTGTAAATATTTCCCACCTGACAGATCTTTGCTTATAAATTGGCCGGTCTGTTTGTTATAGTAGCACACATAGACTAAGATACTAGTTTTTAATTTGGGTACTGCAGCTGATGGAATAACCTGGGTAGAGTCATACCATCTTTTAGGAATCTCACCTTCCTCATAAAAAATGAAAGAGACAAGCAGGATGATCCCTGGGGACTAAAGGTAATATTTGTATCCATCATGGAGCTATTGGGAGAACTAAATGATATACATCTCTCAAATGGATTTGCCAGCCATAATGTGTGATATAGTAATATCAATTTGTGAGTAAGTTGGGTAGAGTGGAAGGAACTTAGGAATGTATACCAGTTTATTCTGAGAAATTTGTGTTTTGTCTTCTTTGAATGGGAAATGGCTGAAAATTCTTAAATTCCTTCAATGTACCATAAAAAAGTGAAATCCTATATCACTGCCTTTGGATGTGATACATGACCCATAGTAGGTATTTTCGTAGATGAAAGAATTCCTATCTATGGCATTTATCTTATGTGAAAAGTGGCAATTAAGATAGTAACATATTTGCCACTTAACAGATATTTGTTAATGATGAAATAAAGTTTTCCGGAACTCCTGAAATTAATGTCCATAGAGATTTCAAGAAGATGGAATAACCTAACTAATTAGACAGTATGTTTGTTGGTGTTTAAAGGTGAGACAAGACCACTGAGATTAAAAGATCAGAAAATTCTCCTCACACACCTAATACATTTTCTCTATGCCACCTGGTACTTCTGTACTCAAATGCTGCTTGATTTTTATATTTATACCCAAGAATTACTGATTTCAGGTAAGAACAGAGGGCTTGAGAGAAGAATTTGCTCATCACTGCCTGCCATGAATGGGCATAGCTCTGTGAACAGTTATTGTATTTTTTTTTCCTCAGGTATATAGAATACTTTATCAAAACCAAAACTCACTGTTTCTCCAAGTGAGTTCCTTGGAATACTAATAGATGCTATAAAAATGTCATCTAGGTGTGGTGGCTCACATCTGTAATACCAGCACTTTGGAAGGCCGAAGCAGGAGGATTGCTTGAGGCCAGGAGTTTGAGACCCAAAGCCCTATCTCTTAAAAAAAATATAGGTGGATGCAGTGGTGCATGCCTGCCTATACTCCCAGCTACTCAGTATAGGCTGAGGCGGGAGGATTTCTTGAGTCCAGAGTTCAAGGCTGCAGTGAACTGTGATTGCACCACTGCACTCCGGCCTGGGTGACTGGTCAAATAAGTTTGGGAAATGCTAAGGGTTCCTTTATTGCAGGATTTCTCACAGCTTTTGATGTGTTGGACATGGGTTAGTGTCACTTCTTTCTTTTTTCTTTAACTATGGGTCTCTTGGTCACAAGCATCTCATAGGATTAATATAAATGTTCTAAAAGCCATTTATTATGAAGTTAACCACACTTAATAAACTAGAACACCAGTTTATGAGTGATGCTTGTCTTCACAGTAGTGCAGATCCTATTAAAGATGTTTAGAGAACAGGTTCTTAGGTGATCTAAACCAGAAAGGCCTTTTTCATATATCTTGATAATATTAATATAATGTTGAATTTTGTCTTGTATTATATTATGATGTTTTGAATTTTAAAGTTTACTATTTGCATTCTTCCCACCTAATTAATTTTTTTAATTTGAGACCTTATGACAGAAAACCATCAGCATTGCCCACATATTACTCAAAACACAAGAATTTCATTTATTCCCATAGCACCTGGAATCTATGCTGGCATTTAGACAAGCCTAATGCCTAGTGTACCACTAGAGTGAGATTCTCTGTCCACTCTTAACTATTTCTAGAGCCTATTTTTCTATGGTTTCACATCTTATGACTTATATAAAATTGGTACTACTTGGCCTTTGTGGAAGGATTTTAAGTCAAGGTAAACCTTGAATTGAGGTTAGATTAAAAGTGGTAGAACTTACTTAGGGAGCAATAACTTTTAATAGTCATAGTTTCTTTTCGGTTCCTGGTGTGTGTGTGCAGAAAGAAAGAAGTCTGATGATTCTCTGGTTCATGGGAGTTGACTTTTATGCCCTGAAAGTGAGGCTTTGCTTCTGTATCCTCACACTGGGGAACAGCAGTGGTTAAGAGGCTCCACCAGTATTACTCATGTGGTCACAATCAAGTTGCTTAACTTCATGTCTTGCTTTCTTCATCCATAAAATGAAGTTAATAGTACTATTTCTCAGGGTTATTGTGAGGACTAAAGGCCATAACATATATTTCATAATAGGGGATCTGTAAGTTGTAGTTACTGTTATCCTTAAAACTATAGGCCATTAGTGCATATGTTTAATAGGCTTGAAGCTGTGCCATTATTTGACAAGTTAAACTCTTGGTTGCATCATCCATATTCTCAATGTTTTTCTTTAGGTATTTGCATTTGCCATCTATAGTATATAGGCTTCTATCTGGCAAAGTTTTCACTTTTAATGGTATCTTTAACAATATTTTTCAAAAGCTTTGAGCATCACTCATATTTCAAAAATAGTAAGGTCATGTTAAACTTTTAAATTAAATCGTTTCTTCCTAGACTATTTCAAGATTTGTAATACCTGGTTAAAATTGTTTAGCAAACACAATTTTTCTTTCTATGAATGTTAATTAAAAATTAAATTTGACTCTCTTTAGTTGAAATTAGTCATTTTGTATCTGTGCATGAATTACATTTTCCTTGATTCTTATAGTACCTTAGTATAAATAAATTTAGTAAGAGTTTAAAAAGAAGTTTCCTTGGTTGAGGTACATACAAACAATATGGGAAATTGAACACCTATTGACTTTATTATTTTTGCCATAGATAAATCTCTACTGTCGAAAGCAGTAGTTAATGAGACATTTATTTTATTTTATGGGTCTCTGAAACATGCTTCTCTATTAATCAATTTGCTTGCAATTTTGTTTGAAGATTAAAGATTCTTTAGAAGGCATTGTCTACATATTATTACTTATGGATACCAGATGAAAATCTAAATAAAATTAATTTAAGATCTCTTATATTAGTTCTGTCCTACACATATACCAAAGAATGTGGAATGGCTGAATAAGGAAAATTAAATTTTAAGTTTACACAATTTTAAAGTCAATAATGCTTTCAAATAAATTATCTATACATAATATTGAAAAGGAATAGCTCTTAGAATATCTAAAATAAAAATAGATGATTGAGTGGGATATTTCACATGAGTTGGTGGTTTATAAAACTTTGAGAAAGTATGTTAAAGAATAAATTGTGTAAGTAATAGCGAACTAGACTCAGTATTTAATTTTATGCTTAGCTGCTCAAAATTTCATGGTTTGAGTTGAGAATTCTTAAGTCAAATAATTTATTTGAAGGATACTGTAGAGCATTTGAAATACTGTGAAGGTGTGACTAGAAATCTGTTTTTCCCATTTTAAAAAAAAAACAAATTGTTATTCTAGACTATAAAATATAGAAAGTCATAATAGATGGATACTCTTCTCTGTAAATATATTTTCCCCTGATACTTAACTGTACCATGTTATTCTAAATTATTCCTGGTAAATGCTTACAACTCTTCCAAGTGTCTGGAAACTCATCAAGCTTCTTTTAATCATGTCCCTCAAATATTCGGCTTGTAATTTACTAATATTCATGCCCTGTTTAGATTGTAAACAGAGAAACTACAAAGTTGTAACAGAAAAGTAATATATTGAGCTGAATCATGCCTTACTTTTGTAAGTTGAGCTTGTTTCTCTGGCAACAAGATGTTAGATAATAAATCATATATCTAAAACCATATAACTACAGAAGTGGGGAGCTGAAAGTTCAGAAGTATCATCTGACTGTGTTGATGGCATCTTTACCTCAATTAATAAGGTGTGGCAACGTTCACTCAAGGACAGAAATTCAATCTGTGGTGGATCCAAGGGGATTCAAAATATTTCTTTTAATCCAACCAAAACATATTGCTTTAATGGCATTAGTTGGTATTAGTTGCATGTGGCAAAAATTTCATGCACTATTAATCCTAGCACTACACTGCAACACTAGAATTATGTGTCCTTGGCCTTAAATAAATTATTCGGTTGTATGATTGAGAAGAGAAAAACCAATTATTTTAGAGGCCAGTCCTGAATTATTGCCTTAATAAAGGTTCAATTTCAAAAAAATGGGAAGTTGCTCAGTCCAGTTGAAAAACAAGGTGGGAAGAGTAACAGCAAGTGAGTCTTTAATTTTGTCAACATCTGATGCTACTGTTAACACAAAAAGTTGCTTTGAAAAAAATTCAACTAAATAAGTTGCCTTCGTGGTTTAGTAATTCCAGATATACACAATCGTCTGTTTATTTTCCCAAAGATCAAACTGTGTTCATCTATATATTTGCATACGTAACATATTAAAGTTTTCTCATCTAACATGACACTGTAAGCATGGCCATGATTCTAAATATTTTTAATATTTATCAGTTGTATAGCTGAATAATAATGCATTGATTGGAAATCATATTAACTACTTACTATTTACTTTTGAGTAGACAATTTCTGTTTTATTTTTGCTATTATAGGTAAATCTGAAGCAGATATCTCTTCTTCATTTGGCGTTTTTATTCTTTGGTAATGCCTCAAATTGTAATCCTAGCAGTGAGATTACAGATCCAAATAGATCTAATTCAATCCATTATCACAGGTTTCTTCCTCATTTCCTCTTCTTTCATGTATATCTGTTTTTGTATAGTGGCAATTTTGATTCCTTACTGCATTAATGTATTCACTTCTTTGTCATAGTCTACACAAAATAATTCTAGAATAAAAATACTGTTGCTACTAATACAAGTCCACTAGAGAAAATCCAACGTTTCTTTGCAATTATCTTTATTCCTTATTGTATGCTTCACTAAGAATATATACTCCAAGATTATTAAAATTATTTTCTATAGAGTTATATTATTAATTTGCTATACACTTAGATTTATATATTTATAGTTACGTTCAGTTTTAGAGATTAAAATGCTCTATTGCTTTTATCAATTTTACATTTGGAAAGTATAAAATATTCCTTTGCCTCAGCATTCAAAATTATATAAAGAAGAATGCTCAGGGAAGTCACTCTCATCCATATCCTTCCACCCTATTCCTACCCACCTTCTGGTTTTCCTTACCATGTTTCTGTTTACAAAAATAAGGAAACACACACACAAACCCATACCTAGCTACCCAGTCCTCTCATCTCATTTAATAAAAAGTCCATCTTTCCCCAGTGAATTGAGACACCAGTTTTTTCAAAATATATGTAAATTGCCTCAGTCTTTCTTACACAAAATGTAACATTCTATCTATGTGCTTTTATAGGTTGCCTGTTTTACTTAATATAACGTCAATACCTCTTCATATGGGTCATGGGAATCTTTTTCATTCTTTTGTACAGCTGCATATTGCTCCACTATATGGAGGTTCTGTAGTTTTTTCAGTCTTCTGTGAATGAGCATTTAGGTTGTTTCCATTATTTTTTATTATGCATAAGGCTACAATTTTTTTTTTAAATGCCTTCCTTTACATATGCAAAAGTTCAGTTTCAGGATAAATTCCTAGATTTGTTTGTTTTGCTAACATCTTCATAGACTTTTTCTTTGTTTAGATTTTACCATTTTCTACCCCCCTTGCAGTGTATTACAGAATCTTTATTCACACAGTCTCACCACAAAGTGTATTGTTAAGCTTGTTATTTTTGCCACTTTGACAGGAAATGTGATCAATACATTTTAACTTACCTTTTTCTTACCTATGCATGAAACTAAGCCTCCTTTCACATGTTTAAGGACCATGCATGTATATACATACATATATTTCTAAAACATATATAAATATGTATTTATACACACATATATGTCTTAATAAATATATGTCATATGTTTTAATATGTCATAATATATGTCTTAATATACATAAATATGTCTTAGTCACTTTGGACTTCTATAACAAATTATAAATATGTCTTAGTCACTTTGGGCTTCTGTAACAAATTACCATAGACTGGTGGCTGAAATAAAAACATTACCCACAGTTCTGGAGGCTGGGTAGTCCAAGGGCAAGGTGCCAGCAAATCTCATGTCTGCTGAGGGCCCACTTCTTGGTTTGCAGTTGGCTGCATTCTCATTGAGTCCTCACATAGGGGAAAGCAGAGAGAGGGAGAGTTGACTCTCTAGTCTCTTTTTCCAAAGACACTAATCCCATTTTGAGGGCTCCACCCTCATGGCCTAATCACTTCCCAAAGTCCCTACCTCCAACGCCCTATCACGTTGGGGTTTAAGCGTCCATATATGAATTTTGAAGGGAGACAAACATTCACTTAATAGCACAATGCTCATTTGCATAATTTGCACTTTTTTTTTTTCATCTGGTATTTCGTCCTTTTTTTCTCCCCTTGGTTTTTTTGAGCTCTTTATATATCAGGAGAATTAGCTCTCTATCGTACCCTAGAGGTGCAAAAATGTTCTCCCGGTTTATTTTTTCCCTTTTGATTTTGCTTTTGGTGTTTTTTTGTTGCTGTTGTTGATGTTGTTTCTGCCTTGTAAGTTTTTGTTTTTATTTTTATCTAGTCAATTTATCAATATTTTATCTTATTGCTTTTGGCATTTGAGTCACAGTTAGTAAGTCTTTATTCATGCCTAGTTTATAAAGAAAATTCACCTATAGCTTCTTTTTTTTTTTCTAGTATGACTTCGTGATTTTCCATTTAGATCTTGGAGCATCTTGGAGGTTTTTTTTGTTTGTTTGTCATGAGGTATGAACCCAATTTTATTTTTCTAACTTACCGTTCTTTTGTCCCAACACTATTTTTTTCAGACCATCTTTTGCCCTATCCTGGTATCTAGGTGTTCCAATAACATTTATTTAAAAGTCCAATTGTATATCTCTTTTTATTTGCAATCCAGTTGTGCCAACACCACTTATTTAAAAGTCTATCTTTTGTACTACTTATCAAAAAGTCCAACTTTTGTCTAGGTGAGTTAAAATACTTACCTTTTTCATATATAATGTTTCCTTCCATGTGTACCTGGATCTATTTCTGGAATATTTTTTACTATTTCATTGTTCAGTGTGTCTATTAATGCTTACTGAAATACTTTAAATTCAAGTTCTATAAGGGAAAAGTGGATTCTTATTCTAGAATAACAAAACAATTAGAAATTGGCATTTTTTACCAACCCATTATATCAAATATTACTCTCAATACTATTCTCTGCTTTCCAACAACCACCTCCCAAGAAAAAACTATTTTTCC